>NC_000013.11:69468712-69620227 GCF_000001405.40 Homo sapiens
ACGATTGGAAGAAAATGAGATGAGATAATCAAGGATTCAGTATAATGTAGGAACCTGCTCACGGAGCCTACACACAATCAATTTAACACTTATGACATCATGTTGGAAGCTTGAACTTTGTTTCCTTCAAATTAGGACTTTGTTTTTCAGATCTGGTTGTTAAACATTTACCAGCCTACTTCAAATCAAAGTACAGTACTTGAAAACTACATGAAGAAAATAATAAAATCTACATGTTTTACTGTTTTATAGTCTGTGAATATTGTCTAATTAATTTCAGATATTCATAGCATCAAGTATCTTTTTTTTTTTTTTTTAAGATGGAATCTCGCTCTTGTGCCAAGCTGGAGTGCAATGGCACAATATCAGTTCACTGCAACCTCCGCCTCCCGGGTTCAAGCAATTTTCCTGCCTCAGCCTCCCGAGTAGCTGGGACTACAGGCATGTACCACCATGCTCAGCTAATTTTTTGTAGTTTTGGTAGAGACAGGGTTTCACCATGTTGGTCAGGTTGGTCTCGTACTCCTGATCTCAGGTGATCCACCCGCCTCAGCCTCCCAAAGTGCTGGGATTACAGGCGTGAGCCACCGTGCCTGGCCAGCATCAAATATCTTTTAAAGAAATTTCACAAGACATTACTGATATATATAATTTGTTGACTATGATTTACATTATAAATAGTAAAAACAAAAAAAATTGAAACAATGCATGAAGTCTTTTTTTTCTAAAAACTATTTTTATTATTTTATTAATATCTATTTTAATATATCTACATTGGACAGGCACAGTGGCTCATGTCTATAATCTCAACACATTGGGAGGCCGAGGCGGCCGGATCATCTGAGGTCAGGAGTTCGAGACCACCCTGGCCAACATGGTGAAACCCCGTCTCTACTAAAAATACAAAAATTATCCAGGCATGGTGGCAGGTGCCTGTAATCTCAGCTACTAGGGAGGCTGAGGCAGGAGAATCACTTGAACCAGGGAGGCAGAGGTTGCAGTGAGCTGAGATCACACCACTGCACTCCAGCCTGGGTGAAAGGATGGGACTCCATTTCCAAAAAAAAAAAAAAAAAAGTATATACATAATATATCTATATTACTTAAGAATCAAATAATATTTTACTGTCCTTGTTCCAAAATAGAATTAGTATATGATTATCTGTGTGGGGAATGAAAGCATGAAAGTAAGTGAAAAATAACACAAACTCAAGAAGAAATTGAAAGAAACTGAGAATAATGAATTGTTAGTTATTTTATGTTCTGGTTACTATATCTTATGTTCAGTGACCCTAACAGTCCAGAGAGGAATCCTGAGCAAATAGCCTGAAGAAATTGTAATAAACCAAATTCTGATTAAAAAGCCAAAAATGTATTCAATTAGATGAATTTAAAAAAGTGTTTCTGGTTGTTACTTTTGCTAAATGAAAATAATAATAATCATTATTATTCATATAATTTTGATGTACATATTATCTCTGAAAAAAATTACCAAAGAAATAAGAGGTTTACTCAACAATATTAAAGTGAAATGTATGATATCCCCCATTATTCTGCTTTAACCTTTAATTTTTGAATTCTAACATCCCAGAGTATATCTTTGAGGCAGTGAAGTTACATCTACTTAGATGTATTCTGTACCTCTAAAAAATATTTAGCACCATTTTGTTTATAGAAATTATCATTACATAGAGAAAAATGTGAATACTAGTGATCAAATTTATTTAAACTTTTCTAATTTAGAGTGATTAGAATATAAAGCTAGAGGCAAAATTTGAATCACTGCAACACATAGTGCCTTAATAAATGAGACCTACAGAACCCCTATAAATCTTTTCCATAAGCATTAGGGATTCAACTTCTCAAGTTTGATAGTTTGAAGAAACAATTTTATTTTATCACCATTCTTTATCTTCACCCCAGTTGCTCTCCTACACTGAACCTTGGCTAAATCACAGTGCTTGCTTTGACCAAATGAATGTGGGCTGTTGACTCAAGCAGAACCTCGAAAACTCAGTTGTCTATTTCCACTTTCTCACTACTACCTTTACCACTGCCTCAGAGCATTCTTCCGTTAGCTTGCTATAGGTGGGAGATATGTTATGCAGATTTAATTTCTACCAGTCATCCCATTGGAGGCCAACAGCCATCTGATGACAGATGTGTGCACGAGCACAGTGTAGACCAGAACAACAAAGAAAAAACAACTCTAAATCACCAACCAACAATTCTGTGCACCTAATAAATACTTACCAATTTTTTCACTGGTGCAGGGTTAGCTACACGACATGATTGTTGCAATAAAGACAATGAACAACTGATAAACCAAGTTATTTATCTTCCTTCTCTGTAAAAAGTCTAGAATATTTTTAAAAACTAGGCAAGGCATTTTCACTGAAACAATGAAATATTATGTTTTGTTTTGTACATTTAGAGCATTAATAAAATAAATCTACTTACAGATATACATTACATAAATACATTTTATTAAATTATTTTAAAAATATGATTAAGAGCTTTCATTATAATTCTGTTTAAAATATTATTAATAAGCTTAGTTTTATGTGAAAAAATCATGTAAACATAATCATACTATTACTAAATAATGAAATTTTAGTATAGGTATATTAATTACATTAGATTGAAGACAAGATGGTATCTATTTTTAATTGCTTGCATATGACAGGAATGAAATGAAACTAAATTATAGCCAAAGTAAAAAAAAATACATCTGAATCATGCTGCTTATTTGTACCAAACCAAGGAAAAATTCTGACTAATATAATCTGAAAGATGATCTTCAAGCTCATTTAGCAGAAATCAGACAATTAAAAGGAGTCAGTGTAATTATAGAAAACTGAATTATTATAGACTAGCTTCATTTTTCTCTAGTAAAGGCAGTAAATTATTAGTATAACAGTGATAATACAACCTCTTTGGCTGGCTTCATGTTTTGCTGCTTTCTTCTACAACATCATCTAGTCTTGGGCTCCACAGTTCTTAAACCAATCCTGACCAAGATAGGCATTACCTTTGTTTGGTATACTTGCATATTAGGTTAAAACCCACATATTTCAGATCTTAGCATTAACCACAATCTTTGTGTTTCCAAGTCCACTTCACTGATAACATGTCCAAAAATTTGTTTTTCAAGCACCAAACCTACATAGAGTCTCCTATGCAGTGCAGAATAGAGTTCAGGTTTTCACCTAGGTACGTATGGGATTTCATTATATGATGTTTCATTTCAATATATTACAAAAAAGAGGAATTAGTCATTTAGTGATATTCACATTGGGTTATTATCTGAGATAAATTTGGGTATATTCTCTATTTTTCCTTATTATTACTACCAGAACACAGCACATTTTTATATAGGTATGTCTATTATTTTTAGATCTATATATACACCAAAATGTATTAGTTTTCTAGAGATGTCACAACAAAGGAACAAAAACTAGATGGCTTAAATAATAGTTTATTCCCTCACAGTTCCGGAGGCTGGAAGTCCAAGATCGAGGTGTCAACAGGGTTGGCTTCTTCTGAGGCTTCCAACCTTGGCTGGTAGATGGCCATCTTCTGTGTCTTCACATAGCCTTCCCTTTGTGTACTCTCTGTGCCCTAATATTCTCTCATAAGGAAAACAGTTATATTGGCTCACGGCCTATGCATATCCATTTATTATACTTTAAACACTCCCTGACCCCCTTTAAAGGCCCTTTCTCCAAATGTAGTCACATTCTGAGGTACTGGTGGTCAGAACCTCAACCTATGAATTTTGAGGAGACATGATTTAGCAGATAACACTATAATAAGACACAGATACTCCTCAGGATGTCTGAGGTCAATCATAATATCACAAATTAAAGTTATGCCATCATAATGAACAAAAAATACCTAGAATCTTTAAAAAAATTAGACATTTTTAACTTAAAATAAATTTAAAAAAACTCTCCATGGCACAATTTAGCAAAGTGGATAACACATGAAGATTCAGATAGACAATTGCAGTACATGTACCTTAAAATAGATTAATAATTACTCCTCTTTAAAGCTTTTAAGATTAAGATGAAGAAAACAAAGATTCTTGTACAAAGAATCCGATGGAGATGGAATAGAGAGGAAACAAACAAGGAAAATAAACATATTCAAATAATTCCATTCTTGACAAGTCCTGCCTGCTGGAACTTGGTGTATCTCTTAGATACTGTATCTAATGCTATCAAGAGTCTCTACATTAATCTTAGCTTCTCCAGTCAGGTTAGATTTTTTTCTCCAACAACGTTTCATTCTGTAGAGAGATGAGATGCTGACTTCCTTTTTCCATCTTGTCCTGAGGGTTCAAACTTCTGTAGCTTTTCTCCTGCCATCCTCAAAGTGACTGATAGTGCTATCAGAGGAGGAAAGCCCCAGTTGGCAGGAGGTTACTCTACCACATTTCCGGAAGATGGGAACTCCATACCTGTTGCCATTACTCTTGCCCTCTCAGTTGTCTGTAATAGTGTCACTGGCCTGTGTGAATATGCCAAGAAGAGAGCAAAGGGAGTATTGGAGTTCTCAACTTACTCCAAGATACCCGCACATCTCTAGGATATAGGCAGTCCTGTGAGGAGTGTGTCCCCCAAACAGCTGTGAGCTATCATGTTTTTACCAATTTGGAGAAACTGACTTGTAATTTTGTTGAGGCAGACTCACATATCCATGGTCACAATGTTGAAAGATGGAACTGAGTTACTTTGCTAGTGAGTGTCTTACAGTCCCTTTACATGCATTTTTCTCCATCACTTTATCCTTCTTAATGATGTAAATACTTTTAATTTTCACAAAACCCTATGAGCTGGGAAAATGATTATATTCTTGTTTTGGCATATGCAAAATCTCAGGTTCTGTCACTTAACATGAATAAGAACTGGGCTGCTATTCTGCGACATGTAATTATGCCCCTGTGAAGATGTTGCCCAAATTGTTCTATGCCCCAGTTATACTGATAGATCATATTAATCTAAGAACTGTTGATATGCCTTTTAGGACTTGATTTTAGAGAATTTTCACCCTGCCTAAGTGTAGGATTTACATACTAACATCCAACAACATACTTAAAGTTTTTTTTTTTCCAAATTTCTTATTTGGGAGATATCCCAAATTCAAGATTATCTTGAATTATGGTCAGTTTTCTTCATAAATGCTGTATTATTCTACTTATTCTTTAGTCTTTGTCACAATATTAAATATTTAATATGATCCTTCTGTGCACTGGACAAATGCCACAACATTAACACAATTTTACAGAGAACACAGTGTTCTAATTTTTATGATAAAAGACACCTTTCTTATCAAGAAAAGAATAATCAAATATAAAAGAGATGAATTTTGTTTAAAAATAATTAAATATTAAAAATTAAATTAAAAGATGAGATAGAAAATACATTTTTGGATGTCATTTCAGGGTTACAACAGAAATACTAAAAGTAGAAGACTATTGACAGAATTCCAGCAAGAATTGGAATGGTTTAATTCCAAGTCCGTCACAGTTATGACTCAGGCAGAAAAATTTTTATTTTTTAAATTCTACTTTGTGCAAATTGTTAGTGAATGTATTAGTTAATGACCTGAAGGCAAATCCCTAACAATGTGATTTTGTGCTAATTGTGTAGAAAAATATTTCTAGCTTTTAAAAATGCTACAGTCTGGGATGCTGTAGGGAATTCTTCTTCCCTGTTTGAGCTATTCAATTCAACCTTCCTCAAGGGCACTGAATCATATTGAATGAGTCATCCCGAATTCACATCATATCTGAAATCAAGGAAAACTCTCAAGAGGCAATGCTAGGGATTAAACACTCTCATTCTATTTATATTCAGTTGGCATTAAAATGAAAAATGAGTTATAAAATGAATTGGATTAATACTATGGATATCTTAATATCTCATTTTCATAATGCCTTATATTAGAATGCTGAAGTTTTAGATATAACAATCATGTTTTTGGCTTTATTTTCAGAAAAGCTCCTCATTTTAAATGTATCTTCTTTAAAATATTTCTTGACTATTAATTAAATGAAAAAATACTAGACATATTATTAAAATAAATGTATGTTTCATCAGTATGCTTATTAAAGGGAAACCAGTGTCTTAACAGCCTTAGGCTAAAAATTATTAAATTAAGGACTGTTAAAGCATGAAGCTGTAAAATGTATATATGTACATTTCAAATGGTTGCAGGCACATCTGCTATTGACTTTAGTATTATAGGAGCTTATTTTGAAAATACTGAATCTTTCAATTTTTAGCAGAAAATAGATGAAAGAAATTGATATATTAAATGTATGCAAAATTTTATTTTTGATTAACAAAATATTAATGTTCCAAACAATAAAGATACATGTTTGTAAGTTAATATTTCTTGCATTTTCAACTTCTCTGTTATTTTTGTTGCATTTTTTTCACATGAGGCGAATTTCTACTTTCCCCCCACCCACAAAACCCATGGCAGTTTCTCTAGTGTACCTAATGCATACCTTCAGTGCATCTAAATTAGGCTGACTTAGGTATAACTGTATCTTAAAAATTATATATATTTGATTTAAGTATGAGTTTTCATTTTCATAAGCAGAATTGTCCTATAAATTGTATTGTTTAAAATTTAACATTGGAGGGCTGGGCGCAGTGGCTCACGTCTGTAATCCCAGCACTTTGGGAGGCCGAGGCGGGCAGATCACGAGGTCGGGAGATCGAGACCATCCTGGCTAACATGGTGAAACCCGGTCTCTACTAAAAAATACAAAAAAAAAAAAGTTAGCCGGGCGTGGTGGCGGGCGCCTGTGGTCCCAGCTACTTGGAGGCTGAGGCAGGAGAATGGCGTGAACCCGGGAGGCGGAGCTTACAGTAAGCAGAAATCGCGCCTGGGTGACTGAGCTAGACTCCGTCTCAAAAAAAAAAAAAAAAAAAAATTTAACACTGGAGTTCTTAGATATACCCATGTTCCTATAGTAAATATAACTCATTATATTAGAGGCATGCCATTTATCACATGTTATCATACGTGTGTGTGCATGTGTACTTATGTTAACTTATGTGTGTGTGTGTGTATATACATATATATATACATACATATATATATATATATATACACACACCACAGTTATAAATCTATTCCTCCAGTGGCTGACTTGTAGATTGCCTATACTTCTTGGCTACCAAGGATTACAACCCGTGATGAATGCCTTTATCAGTATCTCCTTGCAGACTTGTGGGAAAGGTTTGGCGAGGATCTATATTTTGCTGTGCGAATGACTACTGGACATGGGAGATTTGCATATATGTTTTTACCAGATATTAACAAATAACCTAATGTCTGCACATTTACATTCCCACTAGCAAAATTGAAGTTTTCAATTTCTCTATATTCTTATATTTCATAGCGTTCTGACTTTAAATTTTCATCAATCTGCTACTTGCAAAAGGGTATGCTTTTTTGTATTAATATGCATTTTCATTTTTATCATTGAGGCTGTTCTTGCAAACATTAGCTATATATGTATATACTTCCTCAAAGACAGTATAGCAAAGGAGTAAAAAGCACTGATTATGGACAGAAACAGTTTAGGGGAAAATCTTGCCTCCTAACTACTTAAAGAAAAATAAACAAATTTGGGTACCTTATTTAACTCTCTGTGCCTCCGTCTATACATCTATAAAATAAACATAATAATGTCTACTTCATAAACTCTATTAGTGTTAACCCATACATGGGTTAATATGTATATAATGTTCAACAGTGTTCAGTACACAGTATATGTACATATACATGTACACATATGTGTATATATGTGTATACATACATATGTGTATATATGTGTATAAATATATATGTATACACATATATATTTGCTCTTCATTTTTAGAATTATAATAGATTTACTTACTTAACTTTATGCTATTATAAAAATTATAGAGTAGGCTTAATTTGTCAAAAGTTTCTCTTAGATCTCTGTTGGAATTTTATTGAGTGTATATACATTTTAGTAGAGTTGACATATTAAAAATTAAGTTTCTTGGCCAAGCACAGTGGCTCATGCCTGTAATCACAGCACTTTGGGAACCCGAGGTGGGCAGATCACAAGGTCAAGAGATCGAGACCATCCTGGCCAATATGGTGAAACCCTGTCTCTACTGAAAATACGCAAATTACCTCGGCGTGGTGGCGTGTGCTTGTAGTCCCAGCTACTCCGAAGGCTGAGGTAGGAAAATCCCTTGAACCCGGGAGGTGGAGGTTGCTGTGAGCTGAGATCACGCCACTGCACTCCAGTCTGGTGATAGAGCGAGACTCCTTTAAAAAAAAAAAGAAAAGAAAAAAGAAAAAGTTAAGTTTCCCATCCATGACTCTATTAACTTTTGCCATTTATTTAAGTTTCTAAGTTTTGATATAAAATAAAGAGTCAACCTTTCAAGTCAGATTCATAATAGAGATTTTCTTAGCAGCAAATTTTCTAATAATTTAAAGAATCTAGCCAATTTCAAAGCACAGATAAAACATGGATATGCCTGAGAATTTTTCAGCATCCCAGTTTCTTTCTTCATGTGCCAGAATAAACTATGTTTTCCATTATGCATGTGAGATTTCAAATGATTCATGCAGAACAAATTTGCAAAAAGGCAGTTATTTCTATTATAAAATATCTTCCTTTTTAATCCCCCAGAATTTTTTATATTCTAGGAAGCCAAGTCCTGTAATTCATAGAGTACAGGTTTATTTACAATAAACAAACTAAAATACAAGATAAATACTGCTATCTATCACATACTTTAGTACTCTCCATTATTTTTTCACCAGTAACAACAGGAAGTGTGGTTAAGATGTTTAACAAGAAAGAGTAGTAAAATTTTCTCCCAGTTGCTAACCCTATCCTTTACAGCTATGGATAAATTAACAGTTTGAACAATAAGGACAATGCATTCTTTGTTAGGGTAATTCCTGGACAATATTTTTGTCCTTTATAGCATGATACTTTTAAATACACTACTGCTTTGTTATTGCCAGTATAAATAAATACTGCTATTTTCATAAGTTCATTCATTTCATATATGACAACTTTGCTGAACTTTTGTATTAGTTATGATTACTGTATATTTCTTCTGTGTTAATTATCATACTATTTCTTTTTTTTTATACTTTAAGTTCTAGGGTACTGTACACAACGTGCAGTTTTGTTACATACGTATACATGTGCCATGGTGGTGTGCTGCACCCAGTAACTCGTCATTTACATTAGGTATATCTCCTAATGCTATCCCTCCCCCAACCCCACCCCATGACAGGCCCTGGTGTGTGATGTTTCCTATCCTGTGTCCAAGTGTTCTCATTGTTCAATTTCCACCTGTGAGTGAGAACACACGATGTTTGGTTTTTCTGTCCTTGCGATAGTTTGCTCAGAATGATGGTTTCCAGCTTCATCCATGTCCCTACAAAGGACATGAACTCATCCTTTTTTATGGCTGCATAGTATTCCATCGTGTATATGTGCCACATTGTCTTAATCCAGTCTATCATTGATGGATATTTGGGTTGATTCCAAGTCTTTGCTATTGTGAATAGTGCCACAATAAACATACCAATGTATGTGTCTTTATAGCAGCATGATTTATATCCTTTGGGTATATACCCAGTAATGGGATTGCTGGTTCAAATGGTATTTCTAGTTCTAGATCCTTGAGGAATCACCACACCGTCTTCCACGATGGTTGAACTAGTTTACAGTCCCACCAAGAGTGTAAAATTGTTCCTATTTCTCCACTTCCTCTCCAGCACCTGTTGTTTCCTGACTTTTTAATGATCACCATTCTAACTGGTGTGAGATGGTATCTCATTGTGGTTTTGATTTGCATGTCTCTGTTGGCCAGTGATGATGAGCATTTTTTCATGTGTCTGTTGGCTGCATAAATGTCTTCTTTGGAGAAGTGTCTGTTCATATCCTCTACCCACTTTCTGATGGTGTTGTTTGATTTTTTTCTTGTAAATTTGTTTGAGTTCTTTGTAGATTCTGGATATTAGCCATTTGTCAGATGGGTAGATAGCAAAAATTTTCTCCCATTCTGTAAGTTGCCTGGTCACCCTGATGGTAGTTTCTTTTGCTGTACAGAAGCTCTTTAGTTTAATAAGATCCCATTTGTCAATTTTGGCTTTTGTTGCCATTGCTTTTGGTGTTTTAGACATGAAGTCTTTGCCCATGCCTATGTCCTGAATGGTATTGCCTAGGTTTTCTTCTAGAGTTTTTAAGGTTTTAGGTCTGAAATTTAAGTCTTTAATCCATCTTGAATTAATTTTTGCATAAGGTGTAAGGAAGGGATCCAGTTTCAGCTTTCTACACATGGCTAGCCAGTTTTCCCAGCACCATTTATTAAATAGGGAATTCTTTCCCCATTGCTCGTTTTTCTCAGGTTTGTCAAAGATCAGATAGTTGTAGATATGCGGCATTATTTCTGAGGGCTCTGTTCTGTTCCATTGGTCTGTATCTCTGTTTTGGTACCAGTACCATGCTGTTTTGTAGCCTTATACTATAGTTTGAAGTCAGGTGGTGTGATGCCTCCAGCTTTGTTCTTTTGGCTTAGGATTGTCTTTGCAATGCGGTCTCTTTTTTGGTTCCATATGAACTTTAAAGTAGTTTTTTCCAATTCTGTGAAGAAAGTCATTGGTAGCTTGATGGGGATGGCATTGAATCTATAAATTACCTTGGGCAGTATGGCCATTTTCACGATATTGATTCTTCCTATCCATGAACATGGAATGTTCTTCCATTTGTTTGTGTCCTCTTTTATTTCATTGAGCAGTGGTTTGTAATTCTCCTTGAAGAGGTCCTTCAAATCCCTTGTAAGTTGGATTCCTAGGTATATTATTCTCTTTGAAGCAATTGTGAATGGGAGTTCACTCATGATTTGGTTCTCTGTCTGTTATTGGTGTATAGGAATGCTTATGAGTTTTGCACATTGATTTTGTATCCTGAGACTTTGCTGAAGTTGCTTATCAGATTAAGGAGATTTTTGGGCTGAGACACTGGGGTTTTCTAAACATACAATCATGTCATCTGCAAACAAGGACAATTTGACTTCCTTTTTTCCTAATTGAATACACTTTATTCCTTTCTCCTGCCTGATTGCCCTGGCCAGAACTTCCAACACTATATTGAATAGGAGTGGTGAGAGAGGGCATCCCTGTCTTCTGCCAGTTTTCAAAGGGAATGCTTCCAGTTTTTGCCCATTCAGTATGCTATTGGCTGTGGGTTTGTCATAAATAGCTCTTATTATTTTGAGATATGTCCCATCAATACCTAATTTATTGAGAGTTTTTAGCATGAAGCCCTGTTGTATTTTGTCAAAGGCCTTTTCTGCATCTATTGAGATAATCATGTGGGTTTTGTCTTTGGTTCTGTTTATGTGATGGATTACGTTTATTGATTTGCATATGTTGAACCAGCCTTGCATCCCAGGGATGAAGCCCACTTGATTCTGGTGGATAAGCTTTTTGATGTGCTGCTGGATTCAGTTTGCCAGTATTTTATTGAGGATTTTTGCATCAATGTCCATCAGGGATATTGGTCTAAAATTCTCTTTTTTTGTTGTGTCTCTCCCAGGCTTTGGTATCAGGATGATGCTGGCCTCATAAAATGAGTTAGGGAGGATTCCCTCTTTTTCTATTAATTGGAATAGTTTCAGAAGAAATGGTACCAGCTCCTCTTTGTACCTCTGGAAGAATTCAGCGGCGAATCCTTCTGGTCCTGGACTTTTTTTGGTTGGTAGGCTCTTAATTATTGCCTCAATTTTAGAGCCTGTTATTGGTCTATTCAGGGATTCAACTTCTTCCTGGTTTAGTCTTGGGAGGGTGTATGTGTCCATAAATTTATCAATTTCTTCTAAATTTTCTAGTTTATTTGCAAAGAGATGTCTATAGTATTCTCTGATGGTAGTTTGTGTCTCTATGGGATTGGTGGTGATATCCCCTTTATCATTTTTTATTGAGTCTATTTGATTCTTCTCTCTTTTCTTCTTTATTAGTCTTGGTAGCAGTCTATCAATTTTGTTGATCTTTTCAAAAAACCAGCTCCTGGATTTACTGATTTTTTGAAGGGTTTTTTTGTGTCTCTATTTCCTTCAGTTCTGCTCTGATCTTAGTTATTTCTTGCCTTCTGCTAGCTTTTGAATGTGTTTGCTCTTGCTTCTCTAGTTCTTTTAATTGTGATGTTAGGGTGTCAATTTTAGATATTTCCTGCTTTCTCTTGTGGGCATTTAGTGCTATAAATTTCCCTCTGCACACTGCTTTAAATGTGTCCCAGAGATTCTGGTATGTTGTGTCTTTGTTCTCATTGGTTTCAAAGAACATCTTTATTTCTGCCTTCATTTCATTATGTACCCAGTAGTCATTCAGGAGCAGGTTTATCAGTTTCCATGTAGTTGAGTGGTTTTGAGTGAGTTGCTTAATCCTGACTTCTAGTTTGATTGCACTGTAGTCTGAGAGACAGTTTGTTATAATTTCTGTTCTTTTACATTTGCTGAGGAGTGCTTTACTTCCAACTATGTGGTCCATTTTGAGTAAGTGCAATGTGGTGCTGAGAAGAATGTATATTCTGTTGATTTGGGGTGGAGAGTTCTGTAGATGTCTATTAGGTCCGCTTGGTGCAGAGCTGAGTTCAATTCCTGGATATCCTTGTTAACTTTCTGTCTCATGGATCTGTCTAATGTTGACAGTGGGGTATTGAAGTCTCCCATTATTATTGCATGGGAGTCTAAGTCTCTTTGTAGGTCTCTAAGGACTTACTTTATGAATCTGGGTGCTCCTGTATTGGGTGCATGTATATTTAGGATAGTTAGCTCTTTTTGTTGAATTGATCCCTTTACTATTATGTAATGGCCTTCTTTGTCTCTTCTGATCTTTGTTGGTTTAAACTCTGTTCTATCAGAGACTAGGATTGCAACCCCTGCTTTTTTCTGTTTTCCATTTGCTTGGTAGATCTTCCTCCATCCCTTTATTTTGAGTCTATGTGTGTCTCTGCACTTGAGATGGGTCTCCTGAATACAGCACACTGATGGGTCTTGACTCTTCATCCAATTTGCCAGTCTGTGTCTTTTAATTGGAGCATTTAACCCATTTACATTTAAGGTTAACATTGTTGTATGTGAATTTGATCCTGTCACTATGACGTTAGCTGGTTATTTTGCTCATTAGTTGAGCAGTTTCTTCCTAGCCTTGACGGTCTTTACAATTTGGCATGTTTTTGCAGTGGCTGGTACTGATTGTTCCTTTCCATGTTTAGTGCTTCCTTCAGAAGCTCTTGTGAGGCAGGCCTGGTGGTGACAAAATCTCTCAGCATTTGCTTGTCTGTAAAGGATTTTATTTCTCCTTCATTTATGAAGCTTAGTTTGGCTGGATATGAAATTCTGGGTTGAAAATTCTTTTATTTAAAAATGTTGAATATTGGTCCCCATTCTCTTCTGGCTTTTAGAGTTTCTGCCGAGAGATCAGCTGTTAGTCTGATGGGCTTCCCTTTGTGGGTAACCCGACCTTTCTCTCTGGCTGCCCTTAATATTTTTTCCTTCATTTCAACTTTGGTGAATCTGACAATTATATGTCTTGGAGTTGCTCTTCTCGAGGAGTATCTTTGTGGCGTTCTCTGTATTTCCTGAATTTGAATGTTGGCCTGCCTTGCTAGGTTGGGGAAGTTCTCCTGGTTAATATACTGAAGAATGTTTTCCAAATTGGTTCCATTCTCCCTGTCACTCTCAGGTACATCAATCAGATGTAGATTTGGTCTTTTCACATAGTCCCATATTTCTTGGAGGCTTTGTTCATTTCCTTTTACTCTTTTTTCTCTAAACTTCTCTTCTGGCTTCATTTCATTCATTTGATCTTCAATCACTGATACCCTTTCTTCCAGTTGATCGAATCAGCTACTGAAGCTTGTTCATGCATCACGTAGTTCTCGTGCCATGGTTTTCAGCTCCATCAAGTCATTTGAGGTCTTCTCTACACTGTTTATTCTAGTTAGCCATTCATCTCATCTTTTTTCAAGGTTTTTAGCTTCTTTGTGATGGGTTCAAACATCCTCCTTTAGCTTGGAGAAGTTTATTATTACCGATCGTCTGAAGCCTTCTCTCTCAACTCTTCAAAGTCATTCTCTGACAAGCTTTGTTCTGTTGCTGGTGAGGAGCTGCATTCCTTTGGAGGAGAAGAGGTGCTCTGATTTTTAGAATTTTCAGCTTTTCTGCTCTGGTTTCTCCCCATCTTTGTGGTTTTATCTACCTTTGGTCTTTGATGATGGTGACGTACAGATGGAGTTTTGGTGTGGATGTCCTTTCTGTTTGTTAGTTTTCCTTCTAACAGTCAGGACCCTCAGCTGCAGGTCTGTTGGAGCTTGCTGGAGGTCCACTCCAGACCCTGTTTGCCTGGGTATCACCAGTGGAGGCTGCAGAACCACAAATATTGCAGAACGGCAAATGTTGCTGCCTGATCGTTCCTCTGGAAGCTTCGTCTCAGACGGGCACCCGGCCTTATGAGGTGTCAATCGGCCCCTACTGGGAGGTGCCTCCCAGTTAGGCTACTCAGGGGTCAGGGACCCACTTGAGGAGGCAGTCTGTCCGTTCTCAGATCTCAAACTCCGTGTTGGGAGAAGCGCTACTCTCTTCAAAGCTGTCAGACAGGGACGTTGAAGTCTGCAGAAGTTTCTACTGCCTTTTGTTCAGCTATGCCCTGCCCCCAGAGGTGGAGTCTACAGAGGCAGGCAGCCTTCCTTGAGCTGCGGTGGGCTCCACCCAGTTTGAGCTTCCAGGACACTTTGTTTACCTACTCAAGCCTCAGCAATGGCAGGCGTCCTTCCCCCAGCCTCGCTGCCACCTTGCGGTTCGATCTCAGGCTGCTGTGCTAGCCATGAGTGAGGCTCAGTGGGCGTAGGACCCTCTGAGCCAGGCGCAGGATATAATCTCCTAGTGTGCCATTTGCTAAGGCCGTTGGAAAAGCACAGTATTAGGGTGGGAGTGACCTGATTTTCCAGGTGCCGTCTGTCACGGCTTCCCTTGGCTAGGAAAGACAATTCCCCGACCCCTTGCACTTCCCAGGTAAGGCGATGCCTCGCCCTGCTTTGGCTCATGGTCCGTGGGCTGCACCCACTGTCCGACAAGCCCCAGTGAGATGAACCCGGTACCTCAGTTGGAAATGCAGAAATCACCCGTCTTCTGCACTGCTCACGCTGGGAGCTGTAGACTGGAGTTGTTCCTATTCAGCCATCTTGGAACCTCCCCCAATTATCATACTGTTTCTACATTAGGCCAATTTTGCCTCCTCTTCCTTCCAATTTTTATACCTCTTATTTAATTTTCATGTCACATGTTTTTGGCCTGGATTTCAGGAAAATAGAAACAGTACTTATGATAGAGAATATTTTTATCTTCTCCCTGACAGGTGAGTGTCTTTTTGAGTATCAGACAGTGAGATAAGCTCCTCTCAATTTGGGAATTTCCTAAAGAATTTTTATTTGCAGGTTGATCAAACTGAACCAATGGAGAGAAAAAGCACCTGACTGTTGACTGTTTCAGTCTGGACACTCTTGAGGCTTGTTGGTTGCTTCGGCAGTTGGATTTCAATTTTGGAAACTGTGTGTGTATCATGGGAAATTCAAATTCCATAAAGTGATATTCTTTTGTAATACAACTTGGCCCCAACATTGTTTGGAATCTGGAGTTTGCTGTCGAATGGGAAAGTGGGATGGAGTTCCATGAACCGAGGCTATTGTGATGTTCTTCTAAGCAGGGTCAGGCCTGGTTAGTATGTGATATTGTTTGGTGGTGTTTGGCCCCAGTATTCTTTGGAGTCTGGGGAGGTTTGGCCTTTAAAAATCAAACTGACATGAAAACTAATTTACCCAAAATTTCAGTTCACAGAATTCATTGGATTACCTATTGGGACAAATCAATTCTAGCCATGTAAACCAGTGAGTCTGTGTTGCTATCTCATGGCTAGAGTTCTGAGTTAAAGCTATTGGATCTTTGTTTATATGTGTGTGTGCATGTCTAGATGTGTTCATGTCTATGTACATTTATTATGTTTTATTTTATGTCTACCAAATTGTCTTATGAATAAAAGAGCACTCATAAGTGAGGTAAATGAGTCCAAAGTATTTTTCAAGTTCATGTGACTTAAGTAAATATTTAATAAGCTGGCTTTAGAATTATTGGTAAAATAGAAATAGAAATGTCTTCAGCATTGTCAGCACACATTTTTGTCTGGGTTTTATATTTGCCTGTGCTAGATATTTTGAGATGTGAGGGATTGGGACAGGTTATAAAACTATAAACCCAGTTGAACAAAAAGATTTCTCTTTGTGTGATTTTTTTGATAAGACTAATATTACTGGTTTAATTAAAATACCTAAATCTTTTGAGTTATTGGTGAAAATGCACATGTAGCTAACTTTAAGGTTCTTATTTAGGTGAACACCTGATATCCACAGATTACAAAGTTGTTAACAAGAAAGTAAGTAATGCATTAACAATCTAGATAAACTGCCAAAAATAAAAAAGAGACGTAAATGGGTAAGCATCATAGGTGAATTTTTTGTGTAATTTAAATCTTAAAAAAATTTTTTGATGCTCATTGGCTGTCTGAATCATTTCCAATTAAGGAAGGATTATGATATGGAAAAATATGTTTCTATAAATTGTGCAATTGTTCTCATCTATAAAATGCTAATGTCTGATACTTCAGAATTTCTTGCTTTCTAAGGTTTCACTAAAATTGAAGATTAGTAAAGATAAGAATTATAGTTAATATATAATAGTGCATATAATATGTGCTAAAAAAGATATGTTTCTAGTTAGAAGAATAATTTTGTCACTGGGCACAGTGGCTCACACCTGTAATCCCAGAACTTTGGGAGGCCGAGGCAGGCAGATCATGAGATCAGGAGTTCGCTACCAGCCTGACCAACTGAAAATACAAAAATTAGCCTGGTGTGGTGGCACATGGATGTAATCCCAGCTACTCAGGAGGTTGAGGCAGGAGAATCACTTGAATCAGGGACACGGAGGTTGCAGTGAGCTGAGATCATGCCACTGCACTGCAGCCTGGATGACAGAACAAGACACTGTCTCAAAAAAAAAAAATAATAATAATAATTTTTTTCTAATTCGGAAGTTATTTAACAGTTTAAAAATATAGACTTGAAAAGGTTATTTATGAAACAATATAGAAAGGAACCAGTAATTGGAGAGAGAGAAAACAGTTATGAATATGAAGATATACTTTTGGTAAGGAAGGCTATAGAGAAAAGAGAATAATTTTATATGAGAAAGGATCTTGTATGGTGAATTTTTGTCCTAAAATAAAACGACTGGTTATTAAAAAAGAAAAGAAAATTTAGGACAAATCAGAAAGCCCAAGCATATCATAGATGGTCTGTGAAAGTCATATGAGTTTTTTTGCTGGTTTCTCTATGTCTCTCTTTATGCACATACAAAGAAAATAGAAAGCTGAAAAAATGTAGATAGTAAAATATTCTTTAAAATCTGATAGAAACTTGGAGAAATTTGGCTAATTCACATTCATCATAGTTAAAGCTCTTAGTCTCAATGAAGGTAAATTAAGAAATGTTATAATGAAATACAATGGGTAATTGGCAATTCATTTTTTAACACAGTTAAGCAGAAAGCCAGATTTAACATGGAGCCAAATTTCACATAAATGCTCTCATTGCTTTGTTTCACAACGTGTTTGCTCTTCTGCGTAGATAATACTAGCACTGAAGTACTTACTGGTCATGTACCTAACGTGAGTTTCTTAATTGCATAAAATGTATGGTGGTATTGGTAGACTTAAAGACATTAATTAGTGTGGAGGAATGAAATATCCATCATCTTTTTTAAGGCTCTGGGTAACATGTTAGCCTCCAAGGTTAACTGAGTAGGGTAAAAATTTGGAGTTGGTTTCCTGTTTATTGGCTTTTGTCTTTAATTTTTATTTATTTGCTGTTTGTTCTCCTTTAGGTTCTACGTACATATACATATATATATATATAACCATTGATATTTTCTGTTTTCTAGTAGAAGTCTTTTATTTGGTTCTATAAATAGTCATGTTGTTTCCTATGCATTTCTAACAAGCCATCATTTGTTCTCTTTTTCTAGAATTCTTAAACTACCTTTGTCAAGCCTGCAAAAAAATGGTAGTGCACATCAGCCATTTAAAATTTGGTTGGTTTTGCTTACCTTTGGTTATCTAGAGAGATACAAGAGCTTTAAGGATCCTGGCAAAAATAAATAGATAAATAAATAAAAGACTTATTTATACAAGTTTTGAGCAGAAATAGCGCACTATTTATTTTGTTACTTGAAAAATGAGGTGAGAATAAAAATGTTTAAAATGCATTTATTTCCAAGGTAATTAGATAATTCATTTCAATCAATAATTTGAGTTTGCTTTAGATTTTTTCTTTAGGTAATGAAAAATTGCAATGTGGGTGCAAAATTTTAATGTTCAGGAAAGATTAGCCTTGTCCTTAAGTGATTGGTATTTCTCTTGAACTAATTCAGTTGTGTTTACCTTTATTAAAATTAACTGATATTCACTTGGATTAAGTAGTAATAAAAAATTGTGAGACTTTCTAGTGATCTTTGATCCAAGCCGTTAATCAGTAATGGGCCTTCATGTATGTACTTGAAAACAAAATATGTACAACTTTTGTACTGGTAAGAAGATTTTAGTGGTGGAAGTTACATAATCAGTTGTCAGTACTGTATCTAGGAACTAATCTTGGAAATATGTGATAATGCTCCTTTAAAATAGCTGAAAAGAAATAACTGTGTGCTTGTTCTTACTTTTTCCCTGTTTTGTTGTATAAAATTTACTGGTATTTACATTTACTTTGAAAAATTGATGGACAGAAAAGTTAGTTGTTTTACTTTGATAAATTTTCCATGGGACCCAAATCATCACACTTTTGATATCTTTGGACACAGTTCTGTCACTAGAATGCTAGCAACTAGAAATATGCAGTGAGTAACCTAACCACTGAAATGCAGTGATTTGAAGTGCTGCAGGCAGGCAATAACTCTTAGAAACCAAACCATAGTATTGTCACTTGTGACATGAGTAATCTATTAACTAATCCTTGTTCTGTTAAGTCACTGGCCTTTGACTCCTGGGTCTAAAAAAGGCACCAACCCCTGATAAATCTTGAGTAATGACACAAGTTAAAGACTTGTCTTCAGACCTGGGAGAAGGTAACAATCAAAATGAACTGTTTTCATGAGACATGGGGGCCAGAAATTAAAACTATCAATCCCTATAGGCTCAGGGACTAATTGAGGAAGAGGTGGGCATGTGAGATTGTAAGGGCTGATTTTGAGGGATAAGATTAGTTCAGAGTTTTTCTATAAATTAAATATCAATATTAGAAACACACTCATGCAAGGCCAGTATCTGGGCCCATGTGTCAGAATAACAGAATTTTCTTGGAGCATTGATCGGCTCCTTAATAGAAAACTGGAAATGGTTATAAAAAGTTTATGGGAATCTTACTTTATGATTGAACTGATTAAAATTTGAAAGACCTGTTTATAAGATTTTACTAAAATTAGCTTTAATGTCAGTAATATACAAGACAAAGGTAAAATGTGGTTTTTTTCTTTTGAACAATATTTTCATGTACAGGATAATAAGATATTTTTGACTACATTTTGAGTAATACTACAGAAGAAAAAAATAGAGAGAAGGAGAGACAGATAGAGTTGGCCTCATGCTGTTTTTATCAGGTCTTATTGTTTAGGAAACTGGTCTCCTCTCTGTCAAAGAGAGTAAACACTTTGAATGATAATTTTTCCTAGATGAATGACTATTTTATAGTAACTTGTGATCCTATTTTGTGATATTGAGTGTCTTAGACCTTTGATATTTTACAAACTTTCTAATAACAAAATTTCAAGTTCTAAATTCAGTCCCTTTGATCTTAAATCAACATTTTTGGATATTAAGTTCCCTGAAGTCCAAGAAAGATATATTAGGCTTATTAGGTTTATTTGTTATATTAGAATTATACAGGAAGAATTTTCAAATGTGAAGTGGTATTTAGCTTTCTGAGGGTTATATTTATATAGGTATGTTGTTAATATGTGTTCCAGGCTTATATGACATTCCTGAAATTCTGATACGTCTTAATATATGTTCTCAGTACTAATTATAATTATTGTGTTAAATTATCTTATGCCACAGAAATTGTGCTAAACTGTTGTATGTCCTTGTCAACTGTGTCTTTTATTATGGCTGTTCTAAGACTTGTGTCTTTCAAAATTGTTGTTTTGCTTGGATTCTCTTCAAAAGGTGACTTATAATAAGCTACAATCCAGAGCTTGCATCTTCGGGGGAGTTCATGGAAATAACTTTTGAATGCAGGTTTCTGATAACTTTGGAGATAGTGCTACTGTATTACATAAAACCTCCAGGACTCTAATTAAAAGGCTGATGTGTTCATAATGATTGCCTGCCCAATATGAAGCAGAGCAAGTGTTGATTGAAGGGCTTTTTCATGGCTGTTTTTGTTCAAAATATTGCTGATTCTTTTGTTTTTCAGAATTTGGAGAATTTTTCTTTTCATTTCAGCTATTTATAGCCTTAAAATGTACTTTAAGTATATAGAGTATACTTTTATAAATAGAATTTGGGGCATATTTATCTCTCTGCCTAATTTATCCAGAACAAAGTATTTGTGAATATTCTTAATTAATGGCAATGTGTTTGTTTGCATACATTTAATAAGAACTCCTTTTCTTTTATAATGGACCCCAATTGGAGGAACTGGTAATTTTCCCAGGGCTTTGACTGAAATGGCTTTGTGAGAGATTCCAGCAAAGCCAGTTTAGTAGAGCCTACATGGACAATGATTCTTGCTGTACTTTATGTGGGTAATCAGGGCAAGTATATGGGACTGAAACTTATTTCACAAGTAGGTTGGTCCTGCTGTAATTTGTCTTTGGTGGAAGTGGGGGACTAGAGAGAGAAAAATTGTATTTTACAAGAAAACTACAGTATTAGATTAATCTTTGATTCCTGGGTGGCCACATGGTCACCTATGGAATGGAGCTGTCCATGATGTCCCTCCTCAGCATGAAGCAGCCAGAAAAGATCAATGACCAGATTCCCCAAATAATAAAAAACTCTTGGGCTGGTTTCAATTCCCCCTTTCTATTTATCAATAAAAATCAATATTGATTTATCAATATTATCAATATTGATGAATACAAAGGGGGGACTTAAATTGGCCCAAGAGTCCCATAGACAGTGTCTGTTTTTTTAAAATAAACATAGAAATTGGCCCTTTTTGTCTTAAAGCTTGAAGCTTACATTTGTTTTATCTGAGTTCCTTCCTCAGGAAGAGACCCCCAGGCCTCTCAAAAAGTATCAAAGAACTGAATTTCACCAGATTATCACATCCAGACATTGAGACTCCAGACCCCTCATTCATTGTGACTGACTGCTTCCTTACCCCTCCTGAGTTCCTGTTTTCTCATACATAGTTACATTTCTACCCTGCTATATAATCCTCTAATTTTAGTTAATCAGGGAGATGGAATTTAGATTGATCTCCCATCTCCTCCTGCAACACCTGATTAAAGCCTTCTTCTTTGGCAATAATTGTTGTCTCAGTGATTGTTTTTTTGTGCAGTGAGCAGCAGGACTTACACTGCATGATGGTGTTTCAGTAATAAATGCAGTAGGATAGCTACAACCCAGTGCATATAGCAATAAGTTTGGGTTTGGTTTATCCTTGTCATCTATGCATCTTAAGGACCTTATAATGTAAGCACTGAGATCTCCTTCCTGTAATCTTGTATCCACCCCACTAGGCATTCTGTTCTACTATGGAAGCAATGGACAAAGGCAAACCATGCAACTGCTACTACTCCAGTTTTTATAATCTTTTAGTAGCTTGTGAAATGAAATAGAAAAAAGTGAAATTATTAAATGCTGCTCAAACAAGTACAGTCTATGTACTATTTGGCCATTTGCTCTTGTTTGTATGATGTAGTCCAATTTGTATTAAAATATTTTAAGATTTTTGGTAATAAAGTAATTTTGCAAATTCTGGGATAAATTTTACCTGATCATAGCTGATTGATTTTAATTTCTCATTAGATCAAGAAATTTGTTACATTAAGATATTGTGCATCTGTATCAATATGTGAGATTGGCATATAATTCCCTTTTCTTGGTTTACCTTTACCTCATTTTTGTAAAATGTTTTGCCAAGTTTTCCTCTTTTCTTGTATTACAGAGAAGTTCTCTAAAAGAGTGATTTTCTGTTAACTGAAAGTATAGTAGAAAATCCTCAGTAAAATTCTAGCAAGCCAATTCAACAGCACATTAAAAAGATAATTTACCGTGATTATGTGGGATTCACCCCGGGATGCAAGGATGATTCAACATACTCAAATCTATAAATGTGAAATACAAGCTTAGCAGAATGAAAGATAAAAATAAAATGATAATCTCAGAAGATGCAAAAAAAGCAACTGACTAAATTAAACAACTTTTCATGATAAAAGCTGTTAACAAATAACATATAAAAGGCATGTACCACAGCACAATAAAGGCCAGATATTACAAGGCCACAACAAACATTATACTCAATGGGGAAAACTGAAAGCTTTTCTTCTAAGATCCAAAACAAAATAAAGATACCCGCTCTCACCATTTCTATTCAACATAGCACTGGAAGCTCTAGCCAGAGCAATTAAACTAAAAAAAGAGATAAAAGGCATTAGAATTGGAATTGAAGAAGTTAAATTGTATCTCTTTGTAGATACCATGATCTCATACAGAGAAGACTGAAACTCCACAAAAAATTCTTAGAACTAACAAATAAATTCAGAAAGATTTAGGATACAAAATCGATGCACAAAAATTATAATATTTTTATACATGAATAGTGAACTATTGGAAAACAAATCTGGAAAAGTTTCATTTTTCAATAACTACAAAAAATAAAAATTTAGGAATAAATTTAACCAAGAGGTGAAAGTTCTGTACACCAACTAGAAAATACTGGTGAAAAAAAATTGAAGAAAACAAAAATAAATTGAAACATCTATGTCCATGGAATGGAAGAATTAATATTTTTTAAAATTCCATACTACTCACAGTAATCTACAGATTCAATGAAAACCCTATGAAAATTCCAAAGACATTTTTATCATGGAAATAAAATAAATCATAAAATTTTTATGGATCCACAAAAGACCCTAAATAGTCAAAGCTATGTTTAACTAAAAGAACAAGCTGAAAACATCACATTATCTGTCTTCAAAATATACTGCAAAGCTCTAGTAACCAAAACAGCATGGTACTGACCTGAAAATAAACACATAGACCAATGGAACAGAATACAGAGCCCAGAAATAAACCCATGCATTTATAGCCAACTGATTTTTAACCATATTGCTGGGATAACTGGATCTCCACAGGCAGAAGAATATAATTAGGCCCTTATCTTATACCATATACAAAAATCAATATAATTTTTTTAAAAAATAAATGAATAAAATAAATATAAAAAATGGATTAAAGACGTAAATATAAGACCTGAAACTATTAAACCGTTAGAAGAAAACTAGGTGGAAATCTTCATGAGATTAACCTGGGCAATAATTTTTTTGGATAAGACTTCAAAAACACAGGCAACAAAAGCAAAATTAGATAAATGGGATTACATCAAACTAAAAAGCTTCTGCAGAGCCAATCAAACAAATCAACAGAGCAAAATGACAACCTAAAAAAACATACATCAGATAAGGGGTTGATATTAAAAATACATACGGAGCTCGGCCTGGCGTGGTGGTGCACGCCTGCAATCCCAGCACTTTGAGAGGCTAAGGTGGGTGGATCACCTGAGGTCAGGATTTTGTAACCAGCCTGACTAACATGGTGAAACCTCATCTCTACTAAATACAAAAAAATTAGCTGGGCATGGTGGCACATCCCTGTAATCCGAGCTACTTGGGAGGTTGAGACAGAAGAATCACTTGTACCTGGGAGGTTAGAGGCAGTGAGTCAAGATAGTGCCATATGTGTGTGTGTGTGTATATATACACACACACACACACATATACAAGCCACATATATATACACACACACATATATAAGTGTATACATATATATACATATATAAGTATATACATAGAATTGTGTGTGTACATATATATATATGGAGCTCAAACAAGTCAATAAAAAGAAAACAGATAATCCAACTTAAAAATGGGCGTAGACCTGAATAGACATTTCTTAAATGAAGACATACAACTGGCCAATAGGTATACGAAAAAATGTTCAACATTACTAATCATCAGGGAAATGCAAATTAAAACTACAATGACATGTTACCTTATACCTGTTGGAATTGCTATTGTGAAAAAGACAAATAAGTGTTGGTGACAATTTGGGTAAAAAGGAACACTTGCACTCTGTTGATATAAATTAGTATAGTCATTATGCAAAAAGGATGGGAATTTCTCAAAATATTAAAAGCAGAATTACAATATAATTCATCAACCCCACTTCTTGGCATATATCCAAAAGAAATGAAAGCAGTCTTTTCAAGAGATGTCTGCACTTCCATTTTTATTGCAGCATTATTCACAATATCCAAGTTACGGTATCAGCACAAATATCCATCAATGGATGAATGGATAAATAACATATGGTACATATACACTATGGAATATATTCAGCCATAAAAAAATGATTTTTTAAAATTTTAGACAACATGAATGAACCTAGAGAACACTACATTAAGAGAAATAATCCAGTCACAGCAAGGCAAATACCACATAATCTCAGTCATATATGGAATCTAAAAAATTGATCTCATAGAAGTAGAGAATAGAATGGTGGTTACTAGATGCTGGGTCAGTAGTGGGGAAGAGGTTGAGAAAATGTTGGAAAAAGATTACAAAATTTGAGTTATATAGGAGTAATAAGTTCAAGAGGTCTGTTGTACAACACGGATGACTATAGTTAAAAAGAATATATTGTATTCCTGAAACATGCTAGCAGAGTAGATTGTAAATATCCTCACAATAAAAATGGCAAACATATGAGGTAATAGATATGTAATTTTGTTTGATTTGGCTATTCTACAATGCATATATATATATTATAAAACATCATGTTGTACACCAAAAATATATACAATTTTATCTGTGAATTTTTTTAAAAATAAAAATTTTATAAAAGAAACTATAGTAGAACTCACCTGTAAAAGGCCATAGGGCTGAAGTTTTTTTGTGTGTGGTGGAGGGGTGAAGTACAGAATTATTTTTCTCTAACATTTTAAATTACATAATGATAATCTTTCTTTCAAGCTTTCTGTTTCTTCTGCCAATTTTAGCATCATATAGGTGAAGAAATGCATCTATTTTAATATGTTTTCAAATTTATGAACATAAGTTTAATACTATTTAATAGCTCTTTTAAAAATCTCAGCAGTTACTTGTACCATAAAACACTTGGATCTGAAACAGGAAAAGACATTTCTACAAAAGATGACAAGTTCAGCAGAGGCTGTGACAACATTTTATCTTTTTGTAGGGATATGTTTCAAGCTAAAGTCACATGTTTATGCTACTGAGAGGAGTCAAAAAACTCTAGTTTAACACTTTGACTTACAGCACTTGAAGGTAAATAGTGTGACTGCAGCTATGCATAAACGACTAGAAAATCAAAGTGCATATTTTAGTAAAAGCTTCTGGTATGTTATGTGAAAAGAAGTCTATTGTTACAGTATAAGCAAAAATATAGAATAAAATTAGGGTATATATTATATCTAAAAGAACTGTTGTAAAAAATGGCAGCTGATGGAAAGAAACAAGTGGCACCATGTATAATGACAAGAACTGTGTAGAAAATTATTATAAAATAAAGAATATAGAATAACGGAATTGTAGATAAAATTTATCTTGTGTCTCTATGTAAAATGCTATGTATATATCACATTTTATTTAAAAAACAATAGACACTCAGAGACTCCCTGGACTAGAGTCCGTACTCTTTTTTTAAATAATTCAAAATTTTTAATTGGTAAATAACATTTGTACATATTTATGGGGCAAAATATGATGTTTTGATACATGAACACACACATACACTGTAGAAAAATTAAATCAAGCTAATTAACATGTCTATTTCTTTGCCTATTCTCTTGATTCCATTTTACAGTGCTTTTACTTCTAGACCTCAGTGTTAGAAGAGCCTTTCTTGTCAACCTCGCTGTTTCATAGTGTTATTGTTGTATGCTTCCTTAACTGTCTTGGATAGAAAGTGGTAAAGGAAAAGAAAAGTAGATCTCTGGGAAGGAACAGTAGATAGTGGGAAATATAAAAATAGTTTACCATAAGTCCAACTATATTTTTTTATCTGGTATCATTGCCAAACCCACTTATCTTCTATTTTCTTGAGCTTTAGCTGCCTGAGGCTTGAAAGTCACTTCTCGCAGGCTCCATAGCCCCCAGCCTAGCAGAAAAAAATCTGGAATCCTACACTTCCTGGAAGATGTTTGGCCTCAAAGTGTCATATGCTAAGTCACTTGTCACTGCTGCCAAATCACTCTTTTGTGCACGATGCTACAACTGAACAAAAAATAAGTGTTCATTTTCTACCCTTTGGCATGGTTTTGGAATTTATATTACCAGGTTAATTTACAGTTCTTGAATCACCTTGAAAACCTTGAAGTTGACACATATATTGTAAAAGTAGAAACTGCATAAATAATAAGGAGATTGTTAGAGAATACCTTAAGTAGTTGGCATTCTTTAGAGGGTACATACCAATGACAGGTTGGCCCAGAGAATCCACAGGGGTCATGATGAAGACCTCCAACAAACTAGAACGGTTTTCTAATTTAAATGAATACATTTCTTTACAAAAAATAATATTCTTTTATACCTCATAGCAAATATTAATTTTACATTGTGTTGCTATATTGATTTCTTTTTGTTTGGTTTGTATATCATATTCCAACAAGTTATGCAACCAGTTTATTTAAGTTTCTTCTATTTTGATTATTGTTATGATTATTTCTTCAAAAGAAATTAGAGAAACTATAATGATAACATCTTTGTTTTACTTTTATTCAAAAATCAAAGAGGTCTACATGATGGCTACATAGTTACTTAGACTGCATTTACATCCAGTATGCTGCTGGTTGTCAAGTTTCTCTATATAGGATACAGTTTCCACATATATCAAGGTGTGGTGCATGATTTATAAGTCTATCCAGAAAATGTGTCATTTCTAATTTTTATATATTAAACTGGTAATTCTAAATGTAGATTTCTATAATTTTATATTTTTATATATAATTATATGTATTCCATAATATATAATTTTATATATTCTATAATTTTATATATTAGCTAAAATTAGTAAATGAATATTAACTATGACATTCCCAATATGCTTTAATTTGACATATAATACTGGCCTTTTAAATTCACTTCTAAAATAAAGCACACTTAATAAAATAATTGAAACGTAAAATACAGTGATGCCCTAAATAGAAAAATTCAATATATTTTGAACAATTAGTATAAATACCATTCAGGTTTTTTTACTTTAAAACTTTTCACTTTGAGGTATTTGAAGAGAAGAGGAACATGCTAGCTAGCCTATGTATAGCTACCATTGTTTTATGTAAATTGATCTTATATGCTATCTTAATAGTCTGTCATGGAGTGTATTTTTATTCTAAAGAAAGTAGGTAGAAAATGAATATGATTATCTCTAAAAACACAAAAAGAGCATCCTTTATATTTCTTTAGGTTGCTTTTGTTTTAGATAATTTTTTCCTACATTTGTACAATAAGATTATTCTCATTTATAGTCTTCATGTTGCTGTAGGGAGAGATCATTTATTTAAAAGGTAAAAGAATATTCTGCATAAATAGCATTACCAGAATCTTTTTATTTGTGTGCTGATTCTCAATATTGAAGCAAGGTGTCAGAACACAAGGAGGTATGGGTTTACTGCTTAGTTTACCCATGTTCACCTTCAAATATCTGCATGTCTGTAGAGTTCATAAGAATTAAAGTTGTTAAGAGCATGAAATCAGTTTTTACTGCTTTATTTAGCTGTATTTAAATTAGTAAAGAATTAGATATCCAAAAACTTGAAATATGATGTGATGAGTTACAATGCCATTCATTTGTCTTTTAGAGTGTTAGAATCACCTTTACCACTTTAATATATTTTTAAGTGCGTAAAGAAAGAAAAAATGACATCATGTCCACTTTCCTGTTTCTATTTGAAACAATGCACACACCATCCCACTTTCTTTTGCTCATTCCTGAAATGCAACATAAATATACATACATACACCCACTCCTAGCAAAGCAGCCAAATGTACTAGGCAACAGATGGGAAACCGAGAGCCCATGTGTTCACATTCCTATTATGCCAATAACTTGCTGGGTGATCTTGGGCAAACTACATATCTTCAGCTAATTACCTTCTCTCTAAAAGAACAGAGCCATAGGGCCTGAATATTAGCTCTCAGAAGCCAAGTAATGAATTAGTCCCATCATCTTTCTTAATATGGAAAACATATTCAAATAATAAAGAGCTGGAATAGATCTTATTATTATTGCATAATCTCACTAGGTTTTCCCTGCTGTTCTGAAGGCTATAACCAAATGCTTTGCAATACCCATAAAAAAAAAGAACTTTCTCTACTACTACAACAATAAGAAGTTTTTAAAAAGATGAATTCTCTAATGCTGATGCAGTAACAAAAGAAAAAAAATAGATACATCTAACTTCTCCAAAGAAGATGCAAAAACAGACAATAAATGCACAAAATAATTTTTGATATAATTAGTCATTAGGGAAATGAAAATCAAAACCACAATGACATTCCATTTCAATCTACTAAGATGGCTAAAATAAAAAAATACAGAAAATAACAAGAATTGGTATGGTGTGGAAAAATTGGAACTCCACATACATTGCTAATGGGATTGTGAAACGGTGCAGTGACTCTGGAAAACAGTTTGAATGTTCTTCAAATTGTTAAACATAGAATTAGCAGATATTTCTCTAGTAGTTATGTATCCAAGAGCATTGAAAACATATGTCCACCCACAAACACATACACAAATGTTCATGGCAGCATTATTTACAATGATTCCAAAATGGAAACAGCCCAAATGTTCATCAACTGACAAACAGGTAAACAAAATGTGATACATTTATACAATGGAATATTATTCCATCATACAAATGAAGTACTGAAATATGCTACAATATAGTTAAAACCTTATAAACAGTATGTTAAGTGAAAGAAGTCAGTCATGAAATACTCCATATTATATAACCCTATTTATATAAAATGTTCAGAAAAGGCAAATCCATAGAGATAGAAAGTTGACTAACAGCAAAACTGACTCAATGCTATTTGGTGTCACCTCAGTCTATCCTCATAGACTTCAATAACTGAATTACAGGAAGATGTTAAGGACTCCTAAGCTTGTTTTTCCAGAAAGAAGATCTTGAAAAAAAGGTTTTGTGCAGGTTGTTAATTTGATAAAAGTGAAACAAGTATGTACTGACAACTAATGCAAGCTTACATTACGGATCAGGTAAAACTGTAGACAACTATCCCCCAGTCCTGGTGGGAGCACACACCCCTCCCTGCCTTACATAAAGATCTATGTAAACTATAATTCAAAACTGTCTGATTGTGAGAGGAAAAGGGATAATTTATCTGCCATTACCTATTTCTCATTGACCAAAGGTGAGCCCATTGCATGTTAACATCTTCACATGTTCAGTTACTACATACACAAGCAGCTAGCAATTCTCATGGCATCTCAGGTTGAGGCCTCAGAAAGCAAGGGATATGGGCAACAGCTGAAGTTAGGTACCGTCACATTTCACTTAATTGTAACACTATGCAGCAGTAGCTAAAGAAAAGATAGTTGAGAGACCATAATGCTGAACATAAGGAGTATATAATACAGTCTCTAGCCCTTTGTCCCAATTATGTCCAGTAGTGTGCTGAAGCTGTTCATACCAGCTCATAAGAGCTGATCATATGCATGCATCTCTTGCCAACTCTGAGTCTAGTAACATCCTGTTAGTAGCTTGAGATTGGCCATGGTGGGAGTACTTACACAATGGAAATGGGCAACCACTAAAAATTAGCTTTTTTATAAATATATATATCAGAGCATTAAACACTTATCAGCACATCTCCTATATATCATTCTTCCTAGTTTTTTCTAACTAGACACTAGACTAGGGAAACAATGTGTTTCCTGATGCCTAGAAATAAAATACAAACTCTGCCTCCTTCTTTGACTTATTGAGACAGAAATTTGATGAATATGAGGGGAAGCAGACTGTATTAGGGTTCTCTTAGAGCGACAGAACTAATAACTATATATACATAAGGGGATTTTATTAACTGTAAACTCACATGATCACAATGTCCCACAACAAGTTGTCTGTAACCTGAGGAGCAAGGAGAGCCACTCCGAGTCCCAAAACTGAAGAACATGGAGCCCGATGTTCAAGGACAGGAAGCACCCAGCACGGCAGAAAGATGTAGGCTGGGAGGATAGGCCAGAATAGTTTTTTCACATTTTTCTGCCTGTTTTATATTCGCTGGTGGCCGATTAGATGGTGCCAACCCAGATTAAGGTTGGGTCTGCTTTCCCCAGCCCACTGACTCAAATGTTAATCTCTTTTGGCAACACCTTTAGACACACCCAGGACCAATATTGCATCTTTAATCCAATCAAGTTGACTCCCAGTATTAACCATCACAAGTCCAATCCTTGTCAACTTGATCCCATAAACATCTCCTGAGATCATACATAATCTTCAAATAAAGAATAGTAAGGTCGGCTGGGAGCGGTGGCTCACGCCTGCAATCCCAGCACTTTGGGAGGCCAAGGCAGGCGGATCATGAGGTCAGATCCTTGCTAACATGGTGAAACCCCGTCTCTGCTAAAAATACAAAAAATTAGCCAGGCATGGTGGCACACGCCTGTAGTCCCAGCTACTTGGGAGGCTGAGGAGGGAGAATCACTTGAACATGGGAGGCAGAGGTTGCAGTGAGCTGAGATCACACCACTGCACTCCAGTCTGGGTGACAGAGCGAGACTCCATCTCAAAATAATAATAATAATAATAATAATAATAACAATAATGTCACAATTATGCCTAACATAATACAATTATTATTTGTACAACCAGAAATGCAACACTTTCCAACCCAAATACTATTATGTAACACTAACAATACTTAAATGTTGAGCTGATAGGAAGTTAATAAATTTTATGTCACATAATAAAGGAAAAGAAAATAAAATGAAAGTATTTTCTTAGTATAAGTGTATATATGCACGAACATGTTATTAACAAAAAAAGGAGAAAATAGTCATGACAATTACAGTCCTCATTTCTGCAGCTGGTCACATGTTTGTAGCTGGTATTGATAACTACCTTCTTCTACTACCCATTCTGTATTCCCTTTGCCTTCAGCAAGAAACTCAGCAGGTCATGGTTTTTTCCTGGTGAAGTGACCCAAACCTTCATTCCTGAAAGGTCTGGGCCATTTGTAGTCCTGCGTAGATTAGGCTGTTGTAGTTTCCCATTGACCTTAATCATAGGGCATGGTAATACTAAGAGATGCACTAATGGATCTCCTGTATTCCATGCATACTCTTCCTTACCTCCATTGTGGAGCAGTAGACTGAATTCATCTTGATAGTCTAGGTCAATTACCCCAGCCCACACTGTAACTCCCTTCTTAGCCTGTTGACTTAAAGATAGGAGGAGCCCAAAGTGTCCAGGTGGCAATCTTAACTTCCAGTATAATAGAATTGTCATTGTGTTTCCTGGTGGCAGCATTCCTCCCTCTGGAACTAAGACCTCTAGGCCAGCAGAATGTAATGTCGCAGGAACAGGAAGCAAAAATTTTGCTAGTGGATCACTAGGGGTGATGATGAGTGGTGCCACTTCCACTTCCACACCTCGATTCCTGGTCCTATGAATCCTGGCTATGGGAGAAACAGTACCATATTTTGGACGCTGATTCAGAGCATGCATGGCCTTCTGAAGAACTTCGCCCCAGCACTGCAAAGAATTGTCACCTAGTTGGCATTGTAATTGTGACTTCAAAAGGCCATTCTACTATTCTATCAATCCAGGTGCTTCAGGATGATGGGGAACAGGGTAAGACCAGTGAATTCCATGAGCATGAGTCCACTGCCGCAGTTCTTTAGCTGTAAAGTGAGTGCCTTGGTCAGAGGCAATGCTGTGCGGAATACCATGACAGTGGATAAGGCATTCCATGAGTCCACAGATGGTAGTCTTGGCAGAAGCATTGCATGCAGGATAGGCAAATGCATATCTGGAGTGTCTATTCCAGTGAGGACAAACCTCTGCCCTTTCCATGATGGAAGAGGTCCAATATAATCAACCTGCCACCAGGTAGCTGATTACCCTGAGGAATGGTGCTATATCGAGGGCTCAGTGTTGGTCTCTGCTGCTGGCAAATTGGGCACTCAGCAGTGGCCGTAGCCAGGTCAGCCTTGGTGAGCGGAAGTCCATGTTGCTGAACCCATGCATAACCTCCATCCCTGCCACCATGGCCACTTTGTTCATAGGCCGAATGGGCAATGAAAGGGGTGGCTGGGGAAAGAGGCTGAGAGGTGTCCACAGAACAGGTCATTCTATCCACTTGGTTATTAAACTCCTCCTCCGCTGAGGTCACCGGTTGGTGAGCACTCACGTGGGATACAAATATCTTCACAGTATTTGACCACTCAGGTTCACCTACATACCTCTTCCCCAAATTTCTTTGTCACCAATTTTCCAAGCAAGCTTCTTCCAAGTTCCTGACCATCTAGCCAAGCCATTGTCTACAGCACATGAATCAGTATATAATAGCACACCTGGCTGTTTCTCTTCCCATGCAAAGTTCTCCACCAGGTAAACTGCTTGAAGTTCTGCCCACTGGAAAGTTCTCCCTTCACTGCTGTCCTTCAGGGATGTCCTAGAGGGGTCTGTAGTGCCGCAGATGCCCACTTTCTGGTGGAGCCTCAATATTGTGCAGAACCATCTGTTAACCAGGCCCTAGTCTTCTCTTCCTCTGTCAACTGATCATAGGGAACTCCAGGAGACAATCAGAGCTGGCAGGGGGAGAGAAGGCAGGGTGGCAGGAGTGGAGACCATGGGCAGTTCAGCCACTTCCTCATGTAACTTACCTGTGCCTTCAGGACCTGCTCAAGCCCGGTCACGTATATACCACTTCCATTTGATGACAGAATGCAGCTGTGCACGACCCACTTTATGGCTAGATGTGTCAGAAAGCACCCAGTTCATGACAGGCAATTCAGGTCACATGGTGACTTGATGACGGATAGTCAAATGTTCAGTTTCTACCAAAGCCCAGTAACAGGCCAAGAGCTGTCTCTCAAAAGGTGAGTAGTTATCTGCAGAAGATAGCAGGGCCTTGCTCCAAAATCCTAGAGGTCTCCGCTGTGATTCACCTATGGGAGCCTGCCAAAGGCTCCAAACAGCACCCCTATCTGCCAATGACACCTCAAACACCATTGGATCTGCTTGGTCATATGGCCCAAGTTGTGAGCAGGTTGCACAGCAGCCTGGACCTGTTGAAGAGTCTTCTCCTGTTCTGGACACCACTCAAAACTGGCAGCCTTTTGGGTCACTCAATAAATGGGATGGAGTAACACACCCAAATGAGGAATCTGTTGCCTCCAAAATCCAAATAGGCACAGTAGGTGTTGTGCCCCTTTCTTCATTGTAGGAGGGGCCAAATGCAGCAGCTTATGCTTTACCTTAGAAGGAATATCTTGACAGAAGGAATATCCCACACCACTGGACCCCTAGAAATTTTACTGAGGTAGAAGTTCCTTGAATTTTAGTTGGATTTATTTCCATCCTCTGGCAGGCAAATGTTTCACTAACAAGTCCAGTTTGTTTGCTACTTCTTGGTCACTGGGTCCAATCAGTGTAATGTCATCAATGTACTGGACCAGTGTGATATCTTGCAGAAGCAAAAAGCGATCAAGTCCTCTCTGAATAAGATTATGACACAAAGCCGGAGAGTTGATATATCCCCAAGGTAGGACAGTGAAGGTATATTGCTGGTCTCGCCAGCTGATGGCAAATGGCTTCTGGTGGGCCTTATGGACAAGAATGGAGAAAAGGGCATTTGCCAAGTCAATGGCTGCATATCAGGTACCAGGAGGTGTGTTAATTTTCTCAGGCAATGAAACCACATCTGATGCAGCAGCTGCAATTGGAGTCACCACTTGGTTAAGCTTATGATAATCCACTGTCATTCTCTAAGATCCATCTGTCTTCTCCACAGGCCAAATGAGAGACTTGAATTGGGATGTGTTGGGAATCACCACCCCTGCATCTTTCAATTCCTTCATGGTGGTATTAATCTCCACAATCCCTCAAGTCATGTGATATTGTTTTTGACTTACTATTTTTCTAGGTAGAGGCAGCTCTAATGACTTCCACCTCCCTTTCCCACCATGATAGGCCTTACCCTACTAGTCAGGTAGCCAACTAGTGAGGTTCTGCCAGCTGCTAAGTAAGTCTATGCCAATTATGCATTCTGGCACTGGGGAAATGACCAAAAGATGAGTCTGGGGATGCCCTGGACCCACTGTAACTCAGACCTGAGCTAAAACTCCATTAATTACCTGACCTCCATAAGTCCCTACTTTAACTGAAGGACCACAAAGACACTTAAGGGTCCCTGGAATCAGCATCAGCTCAGACCCAGTGTCCAGTAGTCCCCAAAATGTCTGATAATTTCCCTTTCACCAATGCACAGTTACCCTGGTAAAAGACCAGAAGTGTCCTCAGGGAAGGATGAGAGAAAGATTAACTGCATAAATTGTCAGTAATGTAGTGGGGTCTTTCCTCAAGGTAACCTGGCCTCCCCTTCATTCAGGGGGTTCTGAGTCTGTAAACTGGCTCAAGTCTGGAAATTCATTAAGGGGCCATGATTCTCTGTTTTTATAATTCAAATTAGTCTTTTGTCCATTTGACATAGAAGTTTGCTATTTGTATCATTTAAGTAGGAATGCAATAGGTTTCCTATTGATTTCACTTCTAGAAACACCACGATTAATTAGCTAATGCCAGAGCTCTACACAAGGCAGACTATTCTGATTGCAGCTTTGCCTCTGCTCTCCATAATCTCCATTTGCCCCATAATCTCTATTATGGTAGCTACGCCCACCTTGAGTGACTGCAGTTCCCACTATTAGATCTCACATACAGAGAAGAGCAATTACAGGACCCTTCAAAGGTGCAGGTGCTCTCCAAATCAATTTCACAAAGTATTGGTCAAGGGTATATCTTCTGGACCTTCCCAGCTGGGATGAACAGGCCTAAAGTGACTAACACCATCCCAATCTCTCTAAGCCTTTGGATCCCTTCCTCTACAGTAAACCAAAGGAGATCAGACATTTCCAGCTCACTCACAGTGGGCCATCTTTTAATCCACATTTCAGCTAACCAAGCAAAAGAACTATCAGAACCTCTTTTAACTCAATGAGCTGCAACATTGAATGCAGGGTCCCTACTTGGTGGGCCCAAATCAATAAATTCAGCCTGCTCCAACTTTATGTTCCTTCCACCATTATCCCACACCCTTAATATCCATTCCCATGCCTGTTCTCCAGATTTCTGTTTATATAAATTAGAAAACTCAAACAGTTCTTTTTGAGTGTAGCACACCTCCTCGTAGGTCACACTCTCAACCTCACCTCTAGGGGCCTACCGGGACTTTACTCTAGTTATAGGTCTAAAAGCAAACAGAGGTGTTGGGGGTGGATTCTGAGGAGAATCAACATTATATTGCCTGACAACTGCCTCATTGGAGGCCATCACCGTTGCCCAAGGCAACACAAAGTTTATCTCCTCAGGCAAAGGCGGAAAGGTGATGGCAGCATGGGCCAGGAGGGGATGCTGCCACCACTGGGGATGGGGAAGCTGTTCCTTCTGGCAAAAAAGTTTCATCAGAGTTTACAAACTCAGTGTCCTCAGCTTCATCAGAGTCCTCCAACATGTCCCCAGTCCAAGTTACAGGGTCCCATTCTTTTCCAATCAATGCCCTCACTTTAACAGTAGACACCTGGCGAGGCTGTGCATGCATCTTTTGTTGCAGGTTAGCCACTCACATAATAAGAGCTTGTGTCTGTTTTTCCACAGTTTCAGCTCTTTCTCTACAGAAGATAAAACTCTTACTCAGGGCAATCTTAGCAGGTTTGAGGCTCAGTATCTGTTTCTGAAGTGGGGAGTTAGAATCCCTGAGTTCATCATTTTCTTTCATCACTTTGTCCACTGAACTTAGGAGCAATCAACTAGCTTCATTATGTTCCTTTGTTCTCCACATATGGTCAAAGGTATTATGTATAGAGTCACTAAACTCCTTTCCTCTCATGAGTGGTGAATCAGGAGTGCCAAATGCATTTATTTTGCATAACTCTCTAAATGATTTCTGCCACGGACTACCAGTGTTCCCCATACTATTAGAAGTAGAGTCCTTAGCATTTTCAGGTCTAATCATATTAAGAAGCCAACTCCAGAAACCCTAAAACCAATGAAAGAACTCCATCCTTAATATTCTGTTCCTCTGGAACCACTCCTGATAACCAAAATCTGTATTAGTCAGGGTTCTCCTAGAGAAACAAAACTAATATTTTATATATATATATGTGTGTGTGTATGTATGTGTATATATATATATATATATATATATATATATATATATATATATATATATATATGGGAGTTTATTAAGTATTAACTTACATGATCACAAGGTCCTAAAAGGTTGTCTGAAAGCTGAGGAGCAAGGAAAGCCAGTTCGAGTCCCAAAACTGAAGAACCTGGAGTCCAATATTCAAGGGTGGGAAACATCCAGCACGGGAGAAAGATGTAGGCTGGAAGGCCAGGACCATTAGCAGCTTCACGTTTTTCTGCCTGCTTTATATTTGCTGGCAGCTGATTAGGTGGTGCCCATCTGATTAAGGGTGGGTTTGCCTTCCCCAGGCCACTGACTCAAATGTTAATCTCCTTTGGCAACATCCTCACAGACACACCCAGGATCAATATTGCATCCTTCAATCCAATCAAGTTGACACTCAGTATTAACCATCACACAGACTATTGAAGTATATATGAATAACAACAAAGAACTTGATACATCTGTAAAGTTTACTTTTATATGTCATGGTTACATTTTTGGCTATTCTACTCTGAATTTAAGACATATATAACACTATTTAAAAGGAAATAATATCCATAGAATGCCAAGTATATACAAGCCACTGTGATAGACCCTTTACATAAGTCTGCCTTCAACTAGTGGTTCTCATGATGATGCAATGAGATCAGTAATTTTTATTATTCCAATTTTACCAGTGAAGAAACTAAGAATCTGAGAGATTTAGCAATTTGTCCAAGGTAAGAGAGTTGGAAGTTATTTAACTCGAATATACCAAAATTATCCCCAGACACCATATCATTGAGTTTTCTACTGCAGCACATTCATAATATATTATCAAAAATAATACAATTTTTAAAATATTTTAAAATTATTTTTAATATAATTAAAAAAATTTTTTTCATCTTTTGTTAGATGATCATATAGAGCTCTGTCTCCTTTTTTTCCTGTTATATAATGAATTCCATTGATAAGCTCACTAATATCAATTACACTGATATGTATAAATTATTTTTTGGCCTGTAAGAATAAATTTATAAGAGAGTAAGGTAGTTACCTTTTGTTCTCTTTCCTCATAAAGAAGAACACACATTGCAAACTCAAACTCTTTTGTTGTTCTTACTGTATCATTGCCCAGAATATTCTGCCTGTCTTTAGAGGCTAATACATTGATTAGTGAATTCCAATGGGCAGAATCGTGATGCATTAAAGAGATGCTAATATTTTCACTGCTCCTCAATTTCCCTGTTTCCAGGTTTGTTGTCCCAAAATAGTGACCATTTCATATGTATATATATTTTTCCCCTGCTGTATCTTAGCCATTTTTCCTCTGCCATCATTTCCCCACATTAATATTATGCGTAGCTATTGGCAAGCTCTGAGCTAACATACTAGGCTCAGGGGTCAGAGACCAGGCTTCTTAAGACAATGTGCCTCTCTAAGTGAGGGCAAATGTGTCTTCCTTCCTGTATACTTTACTACTGAAGATGTACACAAGATCAGCCTTTTCATTTATTGCAGTGGTATCAATATATCTTTAGTTTGTGGAGCTAAAAATGCAAGGATTCAATGAATGAAAATGAGTTTTCCCACTGGTTAATGGCCAACTCACTTAATCCAGAAAAGTTCTGAAATTGATTGAGGAAAGGGAGCAAAGGAAAAGGGGACCAAAGGTTTTCAAAGCCCTTAAAAATCATGTTTTGTTTGATTTGGTTTGGTTTGTTTCATCTGAATCACTTACATTTTGTGGGTCAATTTGGAATCAAATGAGTATATTTGCAAGGCAAAGCATTTTGGATCAAAGTTTTTTGAGCAGAGTCTGAACAACTTAATGTGACAAAAGTAATTTTACAAACAAGTCTGTGCTATTGGGAAAAATAATTTTATTCCAGTAAGGCTCATCTCAGAAGAGGTAAATATAGGCAGGTCCTGTGACTTTAGTAAATAGGATCTTTTTTGCTACTTCTGTTTTTATTTTTCTCACTCAGGTATGCAAAACAAGACCTTAAAATGAAAATAGTCTGGGTGTGGTGGCTCACACTTATAATCCCAGCACTTTGGGAGGCCAAAGTGGGTAGATCACTTGAGGTTAGGAGTTTAAGACCAGCCTGGCCAACATGGCAAAACCCTGAATCTACTAAAAAATACAAAAGTTAGCTCGGTGTGGTGATGCACATCTGTAATTCCAGCTACTCTGGAGGCTGAGGCACGAGAATCACTTGAACCCAGGAGGTGGAGGTTGCAGTGAGCCAAGATTGCACCGCTGCCTCCAGCCTGGGCAACAGAGGAAAGCTCTGGCTCAAAAAAAGAAAATAAAAGAAAAAAAAAGAAAGAAACCTTTTTTTTTTTTAAAGCAGAGTACTAGTACATGACTTTGGGGATATATAAAGTTTAAGACATTGATCAGTAGCACCATGGAGCTTGGCCTACTCCACATTGTTTCCTCTGTGTCTTGTTTGAACAGCATTCAAGGCCAGGAAGAAATTGTTGAAAAAGTGACTGCTTTCATTATCGTGGCATTGCCAGAATCTCCTGTAGTCATTCTCCCAGCCCATGTTTTCAAACTGACTCTGACATTCACCCAGATTATAATTGTGGATTGCAGAAACTGACAGTTTGTGGGTAAATCAACATCACAGTAGGGCTGGTCTCTTCAGTGAACAGATAATATGGACTAGAGATTTCATAGCATGAGATTGATTTTATCATACAACTAGGCTGAGACAGAGAGAAGAAATCATTGTAATTATTATAAACCCAAGGGCAAAGTGATAAATTAAAAATAGTTTGCTTGTAACATTTTGTCAGTTGAACTTAAGATTGCACAGAGACAGGGTGAAGAATGAAAGAGTTTAAAAAGAAGTTTTTCATTTTTTTAGTCAGAACTGGAACTGTGTTTAGAATGAAAGAAAAGCAAAAAAAGCCATGTTGATTTAGCTAGAGAAGAAAAGAGATTTGCTTAGGAAAAGTGAAGGTCTTAAATAGAAATCTACAAAATAGGAAGGAAGAAAGATAACATGCCCGTATATAACTATTTTAAAAGTCAAACTAGCAAAGTTGAAGCTCCTTCCTTTTTTGATTAGGATTCAAAAAGATTTCTCATAGCAAGAGAAAGTCAAGATGTTAGCAAAATAAAATAAAAATAAAATTTGGAAGCCTTCCATAGGAAGGCTGTGAGACAGAAAAGTATATGGAATTATATACTCTAACAGTGTTCTTTATTCAAAAAATTTTGTTATTCATTAGGTAAGATTTAGAAATATTTTAGAAATAAAGATTTGAGAATATCAGTATGAAATTCAAGTATTTGTTGATTTTCTTGATTAAAAAATAACATTAAGTCGAAAAGTAGGTCATTCTTGTGCTAGAAGAGAACATCAGACTACAAGCGGGGACTCGAAAGATGAGATGCTAAAGTTAAAGCATGAAAACAATAAATTATATCCAGCTGTTTGGAATTCTGGACAGGTAGTTGATTACCTTTTAGCAGAATTACCCAAACTGTACCTCAGTTGTAGGCAAGGTATGTTTTGAAAAAGTTGAATGTTTTTTCATACTCAGCATTCAAAAACTGTATCTCTCACTCCAAGAGACCTATAAGGCAGAATCAGCTAGAATATATCAGTAAAACAAACATCTGGACCCAAGCAAAGGTAAAGTTAATAGAAAGGTAATCCATCAATAGCAAATAGTGTTTTTCCTGCATCAGGCAGAGGAAGAATGGAACTAGAATTAAAAATAAACTACCTCTTCTTTTTTTTGTCATGGCCTACTTGAAAGGCATAGGAGACTAATAGAAAGTGTGAACCCAAAATAGATGAGACAGTTCTCAATCAATTTAGAAAGTTTATTTTGCCAAGGTTAAGGATGTGCCTGTGATACAGCCTCAGGAGGTCCTACCACAGGTACCCAAGTTGCTCAGAGCACAGCTTGGTTTTATACATTTCAGGGAGACATGAGACATCAATCAATATGCATGAGATGTATATTGGAAAGGCGAGATAACTTGAAGCGTGAAAGGGGCTCCCAGGTAGATAAGAGATAGGTAGATAAGAGACAAATGGTTGCATTATTTTGAGTTTCTGTTTAGTCTTTCACTGAATATACAATTTACATGTGAGAGGAGGGTAGAGGAATAGTCAGGTATACCTTAGTCTGGCTTAGTGAAACAACAGGGCAGAGGAAGCAATCAGATATGAATTTGTCTCATGTGAGCAGAGAATTTGAGTCCTGTCTGTCCTTTGTCCACAAGGTAATATGGTTTGGCTCTGTGTCCCCACCCAAATCTCATCTTGAATTGTACTCCCGTAATTCCCACGTGTTGTGGGAGAAACCCAGTGGGAGATAATTGGAGTCATGGGGGCGGTTTCCCCCATAATGTTCTCTTGGTAGTGAAAAAGTCCCACGAGATCTGATGGTTTTTTCAGGGGTTTCTGCTTTTGCCTCTTCCTCATTTTACCTTGCCACCACCAAGTAAGAAGTGCCTCTCACCTTCCACCATGATTCTGAGGCTTCCCAAGCCATGTGGAACTGTGAGTCCAATTAAACCCTCTTTTTCTTCCCACTCTTGGGTATGTCTTTATCAGCAGCATGAAAATAGACTGAAACAGTATATTGGTACCAGTAGGGTGGGGCGTTGCTGAAAAGATACCCAAAAATGTGGAAGCAACTTTGGAGCTGGATATCAGGCAGAGGCTGGAACAGTTTGGAAGGCTCAGAAGAAGACAGAAAAATGTGGGAAAGTTTAGAACCACCTAAAGACTTGTTGAATGGCTTTGATAAAAATGCCATAGTGATATGAACAATAAGGTCCAGGCTGAGGTGATCTCAGATGGAGACGAGGAATTTGTTGGGAACTCCTGTTTTGTTTTAACCGAGACTGGTGGCATTTTGCCCTTGCCCTAGAGATTTTTGGGACTTTGAACTTGAGAGAGATGATGTAGGGTATCCGGCAGAAGAAATTTCTAAGCAGAAAGCACTTAACATGTGACTCGGGTGCTGTTAAAAGCATTCCGTCTTAAAAGGGAAACAGAGCATAAAAGTTCAGAAAATATGCAACCTGACAATGCAGTAGAAAAGAAAAACCCATTTCTTAAAGAGAAATTCAAGCTGGCTGCAGAAATTTGCATAAGTAATAAGGAGCTGAATGTTAATCCCCAAGAAAATGGGAAAAATGTCTCCTGGGCATGTCGTAGGTCTTCATGGCAGCCCTTCCCATCACAGACCCGGAAGCTTAGGGGGAAAAAATGGTTTCTTGGGCTGGGCCCATGGTCCCCATGCTGGGTGCAGCCCAGGGACTTGGTGCCCTGCATGCCAGCCACTCCAGTCATTGCTAAAAGGAATCAAGGTACAGGTTGGCCCATGGTTTTAGGGGGTACAAGCCACAAACTTTGGCAGCTTCCACGTGGTGTTGAGCCTGCGGGTGCACAGAAGTCAATAATTGAGGTTTGGGAACCTCCACCTAAATTTCAGAAGATGTATGTAAACACCTGGATGCCCAAGCAAAAGTTTGCTGTGGGGGCAGGGCCCTCAGGGAGAACCTCTGCTAGGGCAGTGCAGAAGGGAAATGTGGGGTCAGAATCCTCACACAGAGTCCCTACTGGGGCATCACCTAGTGGAGCTGTGAGAAGAGGGCCACAGTCCTCCAGACCCCAGAATGGTAGATCCACTGACAGCTTGCACCTGGAAAAGCCACAGATACTCAACGCCAGCCTAAGAAAGCAACCAGGAGGGGGTGATACCCTGCAAAAATACAGCGGTGGAGCTGCCCAAGGCTATGGGAACCTACTTCTTGCATCAGTGTGACCTGGATGTGAGACATGGAGTCAAAGAATATCATTTTGGAGCTACAGAATTTGACTGCCCCGCTGGATTTCAACTAGCATGGGCTCTGTAACCCGTTTGTTTTGGTCAATTTCTCCCATTTAGAATGGGTGTATTTACCCAATACCTGTATCCCCATTGTATCTAGGAAGTAACTAGCTTGCTCTTGATTTTATAGGCTCATAGCTGGAAGGGACTTGCCTTGTCTCAGATGAGACTTTGGACTGTAGACTTTTGGGTTAATGCTGACATGAGTTAAGACTTTGGGGACTGTTGTGAAGGCATGATTGGTTTGAAATGTGAGGACATGAGATTTAGAGGAGCCGGGATGGAATGATATGGTTCAGCTCTGTGTCCCCACCAAAATCTCATCTTGAATTGTATTCCCATGATTCCCACTGGGAGGGACCTGGTGGAAGATAATTTGAGTCACGGGGGCGGTTTCCCCCATACTGTTCTCATTGTAGTGAAAAAGTCTCACGAGATCTTATGGCTTTATTAGGGGTTTCTCCTTTTGCATTTTCCTCATTTTCTCTTGCCGCCATCATGTAAGAAGTGCTTTCACCTCCTGCCATAATTTTGAGGGCTCCCAGCCATGTGGAACTGTAAATCCAATTAAATTTCTTTTTCTTCCCAATCTCGGGTATGTCTTTATCAGCAGCATGGAAATGGACTAATACACAAGAAATTTCTTTATGGGAAAATTATGAGGGAAGTATATAGCTTTTTTTAATCTTTGTAGCTATCTTATTTAGGAATAAAATGGGAGGTGGGCTTGTTCCATGCTTGACTTTCATTTGGCTTCCTGATTTTGGGGTCCCAAGATTTATTTTCCTTTCACAAAACATATAATACATGCAAAGCAACAGTTTCCAGGTGTATTGGCTTCCTCTGACCACTGTAACAAAGTAACAAAATCCAGAGGCTCAAACAACAGGTATTTACCCTCTCACAATTCTGGATGCTAGAAGTCAAAATTAAGGTGTCAGTAGGATCAGTTTCTTCTGAGGCTTGTAAGAAAGAATCTGTTCCATGCGTTTCTCCTAGCCCTGGTAGTCTCAGGCATTCCTTGGCTAGTGTGTTACTGGTGGTGAATACATATGGGTCTGTAGCAACCTCAATTCTTGCTTCCTCAGAAGAAAGAATTCAACTGAGTGGCATAAGGCAGAAGAGACTGAGGCAAGTTTTAGAGCAGAAGTGAAAGTTTATTAATAACCTTTAGGGCAGGAATGAAAAGACAGTAAAGTACACTTGGAAGAGGGCCAAGTGGGCTTTTTGAAAGAGAAGCTCATAGTTTGATCTTTTGACTTGGGGTTTCATATGTTGGCCTGCTTTTAGGATCTTGCGTTACATCTCTCCTGATTCTTCACTTGGGGTGGGCTGTAGCAGGACAGTGGCCTGCTAGCACTTGGGAGGTGAGCATGCGCAGTGAGTTTACACCTGGAGCTGTACACATGCTCACTTGAGGCATTTTTCCCTTACCAGCCAAATGTCCCTCAGAGGTCATATACCAGTTAAACTCTGCCATTTTGCCTCTTAGTGCACATGTGTGAGCCCACTCACCAAACTCCTGAGATCTTACAGGAAAGCTACTGATCACCAGTTTCAGGTTTTCCCTATCCATAGGAAGACTGCCTTTTTCTTGTGCTGGCTGAAACCAATTATTATTTTAGAGAGACAGTTACCAACCACCTGACCATTACCTGATGGTCGCCTGACATTCCTGGTTGTGGGGAACGGGGATGGGCCCTCTCCTATCATGTTCATGTCTGACTCGCTACCTGTAACAGGTAGATGAAATTTTTTCTGGGTCTATCCATCATCTTCCCTCTATTCATGTCTGGCTCTGTGTCTAAATGTTTCTTTATATTAGGACACCAGTAATATTGGTTTAGATCCTATGCTAATGGCCTAATCTTAGCTTCATTATTTGCAAATACCCTATTTCCAAATGAGGCCGCGTTCACAGGTACTGGAGGTTAGGGCTTCACCTTTTTTCAGGGTGTAGGGGAGACAATTCAAATCAGAAGCATTAGATAAACAATAAAGAATGTAATAGATAAGAATGTTTCTGGCCAGGCGCGGTGGCTCACGCTTGTAATCTGAGCACTTTGGGAGGCCGAGACGGGCGGATCACGAGGCACGTCTTTTGAACAACAATGAATTATCACTTTTTCTTGGAAACATTATTACAGAGGTCACATCAAGGTTAATTTTTTGTATAATAAAACTGTTCCTTTAGAATTGGTGAAATGTGAGACATGAGGAACTTGAAGATGGTTTAATTCAGCTTTTGAAGTGTTTTTCTTAGAAAGACAACTGCAGAGGAAAGTACCCAGACATCTCTCAGGCACCCAAATAAGATCTTTGTGACTGGTTAAGAAGCAAGTTTTAATTAAGCTATGCACCTTTATAATAACTATTAGATGTATTAGTCAACCGCTGTTACAACAAGGTTTCATAATGAATTATCACGAGATAATTATCACAAAGCTCAGTGGCCTCCAATAAGCATTTATTTTCCTTGCTCAAGAGTCTGCATTTCAACTGGTACAGTTCTATGTCAGGCAACATATCAGCTGTATTTGGCTCTAATCTTTGGGTTAGATTCATGTCTACTCTTCATGTCTCCCCATTCTTGCTCTAGCTGCTATCTGGCAAATTTTCTTTTGGCAAATCTTGTGAGCACCAGAGAACAATATAAGCCAAATAAGCATGTTTAAGCCTCAGCTCTCAACACATCTGCTCACCTTCACTGGCTGAAACTATTTATATGATCAAGCTTAAATTCAGTGGAGCAGAGGTATGAACTTTCTGCAAATGTCACTATCACAACATTATGGAACTCCATCTTAAAAAAAAGTTTTATTTATGCCTAACATCATTCTCTTGATGATTCTCAAAACAATAATCTCAGACCTATTTCTCACAAATCCATATGTTTCTCTACATATTATTGGTTATTTAAAATTATGTATTTAATAATTTCTTTTACAATCTTTAAAACTCTATTATCTAGAAGTGAATTATCACTGTTTTACTAGTGAGAATACCACCATTTTACAGTTCACATGGGCTCACACTCCATGCTTTTGAGTTCTACATTCTATGATCAAAATGATCTGATTTGTTTTCCCAAATGTCTCTTCTATTGTACCTTTTTGTTCATCCTATTCCTTCGTATCTGAATAACCTTCCCATTATTTCAGATCCTCTGCTCATAAGAATTCCATCTACTGAACAAACATTCCAATAAAAAATGGTATCTTCCTCTTTTTCTGGACTCTCACTACACGATTTTAATATTTTTACTTCACTGATAATACTTCACCTTGAAGCATAATACAAGAAAGTTAATTGGGTTTGGGTTTTAGGCCAATAATAACAACAATAAATAAGAATTATACACATGCAAGACACAAATTTTACTGAATAAAGTATTATTCATCAAATTCTTATTATAAGGTGTACAATATTGAAATAGCTCAGTTTAACAGAGAGGATTTACTATAAGAATTCTAAATATTAGAAAACTAGTTTACATTTCCATCAACAGTGTAAAAGCGTTCTCTTTATGATTCTCAAAACAATAATCTCAGACCTATTTCTCAAAACTCCATATGTTTCTCTACATATTATTTGTTATTTAAAATTATGTATTTAATAATCAATCGGCAGCATCTGTTCTTTCTTGACTTTTTAATGATTGCCATTCTGATTGGCATGAGATGGTATCTCATTGTGGTTTTGATTTGCGTTTCTCTAATGATCAGTGATGTTGAATTTTTTTTCGTATGTACATTGGCCACATGAATATCTTCCTTTGAGAAGTGTCTGTTCATGCTCTTTGCCCACTTTTTATGATTTTTTTCTTGTAAATTTGTGTAAGTTACTTTTAGATTCTGGATATTAGACCATTGTCAGGTGGAATGCAAAAAATTTCCTCCCATTCTGTAGATTCCCTGTTCACTCTGATGATAATTACTTTTGCTGTGCCTAAGCTCTTTAATTAGATCCCATTTGCCAATTTTTGCTTTTGTTGCAATTGTTTTTGGTGATTCCAGCATGAAATCTTTGCCATGCCTATAACCCGAATGGTTTTGCCTAGATTTTCTTCTTAGGGTTTTCATAGTTTTGGGTTTTACATTTAAGTCTTTAATTCATCTTGAGTTAATTCTGGTATAAAGTGTGAGGAAGGGGCCCAGTTTCAATTTTCTGCACATGGCTAGCCAGTTCTCCCAGAACCATTTATTACTTAGGAAATCCTTTCCACATTGCTTGCTTTTGTCAGGTTTGCCAAAGATCAGATGTTTATAGATATTGAATATAAGTTAGTTCAACCATTGTGGAAGATGATGTGGTGATTACTCAAAGATCTAGAACTAGAAATACCATTTGACCCAGCAATCCCATTTCTGGGTGTATACCCAAAGGAACATAAATCATTCTGTTACAAAGATATATGCATGTGTATGTTTATTGCAGAACCATTCAAAATAGCAAAGACATGGAATCAACCCAAATGCCCATAAGTGATAGACTAGATAAAGAAAATGTGATACATATACACCATGGAATACTATACAGCCATGAAAAAGAAAGATCATATCCTTTTTAGGGACATGGATGGAGCTGGAAGCCATTATCCTCAGCAAACTAGCACAGGAACAGAAAACCAAACACATGTTCTCACTTTCAACTGGGGACTGAACAATGAGAACACATGGACACAAGGAGGGGAACAGCACACACTGGGGCCTGTAAGGGGGTGGTTGTGGGGAGGGAGAGCATTACAAAGAATAGCTAATGCATGCTGGGCTTAACACCTGAGTGATCGGTTCATAGGTGCAGCAAACCACCACGGCACACACTTACCTATGTACCAAACCTGCACATCCTGCACATGTACCCCGGAACTTAAAATGAAAATAAAATTAAAAAAAGAAAAGTTAAAAGTAAAAAAAGGAACTACTAAGTTAACACAGAAGCAGCAAATGCAAGAAGCAGCTATTATACCTAAAGCAGAGGTAAGAGGTTTTAAGTAAAAATTTAGAGCCCTGGAGCAAGGACCTTGTGGAGCTGAAACTCCTGCATTTGAAAAGGTGGTATTACTTGGCTGTACGTATGCCTCTGAGATGTGGGCGAGATTTTAAGGAGCTGGGAAAAAACCTCTGAAAAAAGGTCCTGATTACCTGGTGCTGATGCCTCTACAAAGGGTTATTATAAGACCTAGTCATGTGAGAGGTGGAAAAACCTCAGAGTGTAACAAACTGCCGGTATTCAGGTGAAAAAACGAGACTAGTAGCACTACAAGAGTAGGATGCAAAAACAGAAATAATTATCCAGAAGAAACTGATCCTTCTTTCAACCTTCTGACTTCTTTACCACACATCCTCTTGAGAGAGCCAAACAGGAAACAAGGTAGCACGGGAGAAAAATAGTTTGCAAGGTCATAAACCCTGACTCCCAAAGCCAGCTCTAGAATGGACATTTGCAGGTGAAGGGTCATTTTTACCCATCTATAGAAATTTTCAAACATGAAGAAAAGTGTGTTTTGTCTGATCTAACAAATATTTTTTAGAAAATCTGTCACCCAGGCTGAAGTGCAGTGGTGCCATCTCGACTCACCGCAAGCTCTGCCTCCCGAGTTCACGCCATTCTCCTGCCTCAGCCTCCTGAAAACAGTTTTCATCACTGCAGATCTTTCTAAGCTCAACTATCAACATTAATAAAATTAGTTATTAACATTGTTATTAAACAGTATAATAATTTACTTAGATTCAGGGTTTGTCTGTCAATATGTCAAGAAGTTGTAGAACCTGTTGAGCTATGAATCCTCCAGGTTTTCTTAGTTTTCTAAAAAGCTATAAAGATAAACACATCACATTTATATTCAAAATTGTATATGGTACTGTTTTTAACTATAATAAAAAAAGAACTAGTACAAAAATTTAGAAACATTAATAGAAAGCTATATGTGTCATATCGGACTTAGACCCAGTTGGTCACAACTAAATAACCATATCCTAAAAACGTGCCTTAAGCATAACAAATGTATGTCAGGTGGCATGTAGAAAACCTCTACCAAATAAATAATATAAAAATTTCATATAATTGATGATATACGTGAGGGGAAACTTCTGAAGCTAAATGCAAAATTTTTCCAGAGGGAAACTCTTTAACTCAGGTTGTCATGAATAGAATTTCATTTAAAAAGATTTAATATTAAATCATTATAATATACTGGGAAATGATCTATCATGAATAAAGGTCACAAGACAGAGACAAAAGTAGCATTAGACCATCCAAGGCATCATGTTATCTAATTAGTGCATAGAATTTCTAAAATAAATATGTATAAAATTAAAGATATAAAAGAATTAAAATATATAAAAGAATTAAAAGATAACAATACATTATAAACAAAGACAAATTTTTAAAATGAAACAAATAAAAGGATGATGTTGAGAAAAATGCACATGAACTCAGAAACTTATAAGGAGCACATTTGACTCCACATTCAAATGTACGTCAGCTCTCTAATAATGATTAAGTCACAATGTAATTTTTTTGGTTTCATGTTGCTATTTTTCACACTAAGAAAATGTTACAATATGTTTGGACAAATATTTTCATTTTATCCACTGATCAAAATTATTTAATTCCAATATGAACCATATATTAATTAGCCTTTTTCTTTAACTGTTTCTTCAATTGTGAAAAAATCAGCAAAATACGAATTATCTTAAAATATATAGATATAAACATTTTTATACTTTTAAGATTTCTGCACAAAATATTGAAAGGAATTAAGAGAGTGTATACATTAAGTTAGAAAATGAAGTATTAACAAACTTCAAACACTTGAGAATGGAAGAAATGTGTTATTTGAAACTATTAGCAAGTTAAGAGAGAGTTTCTTACCACAAACTGGAGTACAAGATTAGACATTTGGAACTTTGCTCTCAATATTCACTCTTCTCTTTCTTTCTAGTAAAAGAACCCAGAGGTTGAGCTTGTCACTGAAACCTGGCTAAACCCTTGTATCATACAACCTCCCTAGCTGCTAGATGTGGCCAGGTGTCCCAGTTACCACTGCTGAGAAGGGAGTGTTCAGTGACCTTTTGTAGCTATTATGGGACATCCTAAAAAGACGGGAGTGCCTCTGTCTTCTGTCATGCTGGCTGGAATATGGATACAATGACTAAACACCAGAAGCCATTCAGAATATAACTTGACGTTGGGAAAAGAAGCTGTAGTCATGAGACTAAAGAAACAGGGAGCCTGCGTGCCTGACATGTCTTACCAGCCTCAATGTGTCATAACAGCAACAGCTGCCTAATTATTGATTTTGCATGGAATTTGTAGCTTATTTAAGTTCCCGTTTTGAGGTCTGTGTTACTTGTAAGAATCGTAATCCTAAGAGTGACTGTATGTATATTCTTAGGCTAAAATAAAACGAGAGGAAGAAATAGAAATGAAAATAATACACAGAAAACAGAAGTAATAAAAATCAGTAGCATCAGAAATACAGAAGTCATACAGAAAGGTGAAGGAAAAGCACTATTCATAAGAGAATAAAAATGTGGAGCAAGAAGAAACAGAAATAAAGTTCATTGGCTTAGAATCATCACAATATTGAATATTTACTTAAGAAATTAACTGAAAGAATGAATATCATTTAGAATAGTCAATGAGGGTGTACAATATAGGAAGTTAACAGAGAATAAATAGAGAGCAATGAAGGAGTGTGGCCTAAATTCTATTTTGATTCATTCTATTAACTTTGTCATATTCACAGAACCTTAACTGTCTGTTTTTGTTAAAAAAAAAAAAAAAAGGTGTTTAAATACCTCTTTCTTTTTCTTTTTCTTTTTTTTTTTTTTTCGAGACGGATCTCGCTCTGTCGCCCAGGCTGGACTGCAGTGGCGCGATCTCGGCTCCCGGGTTCATGCCATTCTCCTGCCTCAGCCTCCGGAGTAGCATTAAATACCTCTTTCTATGCAAAAAACTCTGTAAAACCAACAAAAAACAGTGTACATGCACATCTAGCTCCAATAATCTACCATCCTCTCCTTCATTTCAAATTACACTGGCTATATATAAACCACATTGCAATTGAGAGCGGAAATCTATCAACTGATTTGTTCTTATTTTAATAGAATATTTCAATTTGACTCTATAAAGAAAAATATATACTTTGTGTAGTGTGAAGACTCTGCGACATGAAGTCAAATTGACTTTAGCTGGAGTCACAGATAAGCCATTTCAGATTTGTGATTGCAGGCAATTTCTCAGAATAATCTATTCTTACTTTGTTTATCTGTAAAAAGTAGGAGAGTAATAATCAACTTGAAGAAGTAAGTCATGAGCATGAGTCCACTTGTGTGAGTGTGTAGAGTCTGTATGTTATATAATAGCTAATTGTTTCCTAAAGTATAGGCTGTGGAACTCCTATCTAAGAAGCTACAGATGCACAAGGAATCTGGATTTTTTAGGACACTACAGTCAATTATTTTTATTGATTATATTGCATGGCATAATGTTCAGCATTTGGGCAATGGGCAAACTAAAAGCCCAGACTTCACCTCTAGCTAATATATCTGTGCAACAAAACTGCACTTGTACGTCTATAACAAGAAAACAGAAAAAAATGGTTGCTGTTGTATTTATTCTTCTTGCTTTAAAATTGATTTGATATCACACAACTGACATTAGATTAAAAAGTGCTTAGATTTATGTGATGTAGGTGGCGTAGATATAGATAGCTACAGCTATACATTTAGATGTAGATATAAATTGTTGGTTTATTACCATTAAGCGAAACCAGCATAGTAGCTTAATTTTACACTTAAATATTGGTCATACATTTATATGTTGATTTTAATTATATTCCTTTCAATAAGTAGCAAATAAAGAATGCTAATCACACAAACATTAAATAATAATGTTGCAATTTAATGATCACAATCTATACAGTATTATGCAAAACTAGAAATCTGTCCATCAGAGAAAAAAAAGAAAGAAAATGATAAATCATATTGACAATTCTTTTATATATTGTTTCTTTTCTTAAAGGCTTCTCATAGTATATCAGTTTAAAAATAAGAATATATGAACAATTCGCATAGTTGCATAATCTGTCAAATTTAGTGCATATATTAAAAAATTTTAGAATTGAAACTATGTCATTAACAATAAACTCATATAAACATACACAAGAAAACAGATGATAGAATTTGAGTAACGTGAGGATAAATGGTTATCTGCATTGTAGTTGTCAGTATTACCTTATAAATCTAAAATAAATTATAATGTCAATAATGAGAATTATTTTAAAATATAGTTAAACAAGTGAAAAGGAAAGGTACTTTCTCTGCATTGCCTATACAGAGGACAAGGAGAAAATTCAGGCTGTTTTTTTTAAAAAAATGAAGATAAAGTTAGAAGTATAAAAAATAGTAAAGAGAATGAGGAGTTGTAACAGATATCTTCCTGGGTCAAATTTACTGTGCCATTTTCTTTAACTTAGCAAATATAATTTTATTCATTTCATTAAGAAATTTTTTGGCTTTAATTTTTATTTTTACTTTGTTTCCAGGGCTTTAAGTGATGAGTAAATCTTCTCACTCCATATACATTTCATTAGATCCTCCTACACTGGAGCTCCAAAAGTTATCTTTAAAAAGAGTATGCACTAACTATTTTGTAACGTCTCATGCACTTTTATGTAGTTTTTTTAGTTGTGTTAATGTATTTACATATATACTTTGACACTTAATAAATAAAAATGAGAGCCAAGGTCAAACCAACCCCCTCGTTCTGATGATGGACCAGAACTCCAAGATGTAAATGGATTCCTTAAAAGTCTAATTGCTAATAGGTAGCAAATAAGTACTAAAGCACATTCTTTTCACTTAGACCATTTATTTTTGCATTGGGAGTATATTTTATTAATATTAAACCTAGAGCTCATAGGGCAACATAATCCTGAGCCAAAAAATACTATTTAAAAATTCTAGTGAAACACATGCTGAAAAAATTAGTCTTGGGAAATAAATACAATCATATCACTTGCAAGGATGAATTTAAATTTTCACTTTGAATTTACTTTCTATAAACTGAGAGAGTGAATAATTAACTATTAAGATTTTTCTGACCCCAAAATTATTACAGGGAATTTTTAAATGAATACAAATACTATACGAAGGAGTTAATGGATACAAATACAATACAAATGAATACAATACTCCTCTCTCATTTGACACATTTGACCTCTAGTTCTTTCTTAGAAAGCTACCCAGTTGTCAGACAGTATAATCTCAGGCCTAATACACAGATACACACACACACACGCACACACACACGCACGCACACACACACACAGCCTGCCAATGAGGTTTCTTTTTGCTAAACAATTGTCATACACCCTACTTTTCCATGGAGAAAGTAGCACTGCACCGTTAAAAAGAAGGAAAAAAAACTAATTTTGATTTTCACCTGATTTGTGAGACAAGGTAAGAAATGTTATATATTATTTTCTCTGTGTGTTATGTAGTTAATTAGATCACTCTTCCTCTACCTCTGAACACTAAGGTTATAATTACAAATAATTACTGATTTATTCCCACTATTGATGGTACTTTGAATTTAGATGAGCTTTAAAGTCATCCTCCCAGATTTATAGTTACTGGAGAATAAAAATTACAGTGCCTGACAAAGCTAGACAAAAATGAAGGAGCAAAGACCACGTGGAAAGCAGAATTTATTTCAACAAATTATAAAATAAGTTATACACACACTCACTCATTCAAGCACACACTCAAACATACATAAAAGTCATAAATCTCTAGACTCTGAAACTATCATACATATACTTCCTAACCAAGGGAAACTGCTGACTTTTAAATCATAAATAGTATGACTGGCAGAGGTAGCATCAGAAGACTTTTCTTAAGTAGTAAAGGCCAGCGGTTATTAGAATCAACAGAATCTTCATAACTTTTTAAAACAAAGAGATCACAACTTAATATGTTTTTAAGGACAATGGGGTAGTTAATTTTATTCTGGCAATGCTAAACAGAGGTATTGAAACAGATGGCTCAGTGAGATTGAGGAATATTTTTGAATCAAAATATTTAAAATGCCTACAGACAAAAAGAGTTCATTTTTTAAATTGCAGCATTACATATTTTCTTTTGCAAAGGAATAGTGTAAACTCTGCTGCTCCTCCATCCTTCTTATTGTTCTTTTCTTATTCTCAAAGACAATGTGTAGAAAGAGATATAATTCCCAGGTTTCAGATTGAGTTCCATTACCACCTATTGTGGATTTGTCTAAAGAGCTCTTGAAAATATAATAGCAAATTTTACATGCAAATTTTGGGCAATTGCAAGAAGGAGAAGAAATAATGTCTCAAAAGTATAAATAAAATTATAATTACATTTATTATGTAACATTTAAGACACAAACTAGGTACAAACCGTCTATCTTTGTATCCAACTCCTAACTTAAAAATGTTAGAAGTAGAGTTAGAATTCTCTACTTTTCAGCAGATAACTAGTATCAGTATTCTGTGATTTGTCAATCTCATATGGGCTTTTATACTGTTGTTATATATTTATCTATCCTTTGGCAATGTCTAGCATTTTTTGCATATGGTAACATATCAGTGGCATTGTACTACATATTCCTGTTACTTCCCTCTCCTTCTGCTAGAGAAAGGCATGGTCAGGTCACCCACATTTCATATCAAAAGTATTCATTCTTGTATTTTATATTTCTGTTCTGTAAATTGAATTTTTCCACAGAAATAATTGCTTATTTCTTTACCTTGAAAAATAAATGTATGGCATTGAAAATAAGGAGAGCTCTTCACCTTCAATGACATTCAATGATAGAAAAATAAAAAATCATTTTACATTTTAATGATGTACAAATGTATATTTTATGTTAATGCAGTAAAGACTAAATTAAACTATATGAAAGAGAGTCTATTGTAGGCTCCAAGGAGCCCCATAAGGAGGACTTCAACACATTGCTTTTCAGTAGAAAAGGCTTATTTGGTGGGTAGAATGGCAAGGCCATGTCAACTTCAGAACCATACAGACTTTAATCAGTATTTAATTACAGAGTTTGAAACAGGTTCTTGCACCAGGGACTAAAAAGATTCCACTATCTTAAGAAGTAAGTATCAACAGTTTTTTTCCTGTTGGGATGCTATGGCAACAAATATTCCTAATTCTGGCCTGGAGTTCCAGGTATTAATTCAAGGTTAGGAAGAATGCAGCAAGCTACTTCTAAAGTAAAGAGCCAGTAAGGACTGGATCTAATAATTCAAGCAATTATTAGAACTGGCTTGATAAATGAACTCATACATAGAGCAACAATTGAACATATGTTGGGTGATAACATCAATATTCTTTAATGTTGGAAGCTTCATAAAAGAGAGAGGCATACATATCAGTAATACGTATGCAAATGTACATGATTTACTGGTGGTACTCAAAACAAAAGAAATGCCAATTCCTACATTTTATGAATTGATGTTGAGAAGAGATTAATAATATTCAATGGCAAACTTCTCATATCATGTCACAAATTCATCAAGTGAAGCCCTCCTGGTGGTACAATCAGTGCCCCATCTGTGGTTGTTTTCATATACTTTGTAACTATCAAGAGGGGCAAAGATAAATGCTTTCATATTGTAATACAAATATACATCCATACATATATATGCACATACACATGTATTTGTGTCAATGAGGGAGAGAGAGACACTCAGAGAAAGCACTGGGGGGAATGTGTATAGTAGGCCAAATGGGTGCCCAAATAAGTATATGCCTGTATATGTATTTGGGCTGGCATACCTTTGATTAATATTTACTAATTAATAATCAATACTAAAATTACTCTTTTTAAATGTCATAGTATTAGCTTTAAATTTATTTTTTATGGAGTGTTAATGATATAAAAATTTAAATTTAAATAAATTAATTTAAAGAAATAAAAATCAGTCCTAAAGTTCTGAAAATAAATAAAGCCAAAAGTATTTCCTAATATTATTGTTTGAATTTTATTCAAGCTTTTATCAATAATAAAAACTTTATGATTAGAAATAACACTTTATACATGAAAGTTTGTATAAATTGCATTGCTATGCCCCATTTTTCCAAAAGGTATTTTACAAAATAAACTTTTCTAATTATAGAAAGCATTAACTTCTTAAACTTTAATCATCTTTCTTTTTACTCATCTAAGTGCAAATCTCAAAATTCTTTTACACTTTTGCTCCAAATATTTTTACAAGATCTCCCTCTTCTGGCCACAACAGTTATTTCATTTCTTTTTATCAACAATAGTTTTAAAATCTGCTGTAAAGTTAAGGCAAAGCTAATTTTTACCAATCTGGCATCAAAGAGATAAATAGACGTGCACTCTTTAAAAATGAAAAACAGGAAGCTCTTTTCAATATCTCTAATACACATACTGTTCTATTAAAGTCTGTTTATCTAATTTCATTTAAGTTTTCTGCCTCACTGATAGTCTGAGGATTCATATGCCAAGCTTGGTAATAAGTTAATAAATGAATTGAATGCTTGAGGTGTTCCAGATGGACTTAAATTGCAAATGCTGTCATTCACAAAAGAGACTGAGCTCATACAGCTGGAATGCAAACTTCCAAATGCAGACTTACCTATGCGCCTTAAGATACAATAAAAGTAAGAAGCAGGCTCCATTAAATGCCTTTTCAGAACTTAACTTTTCCCTCAAGTTTGCAAAGCTGGTTGAAAACAATAAACCATATGTGAGAAATATTCATAAATGAAGGGCAATAAACACTGACCATGCAACTTGCACAAAAATAACATACTGAAAACCGTTTAAAGCTATGCGCTTGTGGCACTATCACATACTTATTTGCCAGTTTTGATCATTATTTAATTTTATAGAATTTAAGAGAAGCTTGCATGGAAAGTTTTGTGGGCACTATTATTCTTAAAGAGCATATTGTATTGGTGCTTTAGAACTCCCAGTAATTATTACTGATAGGTTTTTCCATTTCTTCCTGAGGAGGTTTTTCCATTTCTTCAAGAAATATTTACAATGCAATGACAATCTAAAACAAACACAACAGAATTAGTACCCAAAAATGTATGGTAAGACACTAAGCTTGGGTTACATTAACAGGTTTCAGTAAATTATACTCAATTTGATTTTGCACGTATGTTCAGTTTTCAAAAGAGAGGGTTTATAGCTTTCATCAGATGCTCAAAGATATCAGTGATCCCCAAATTTAAGGGCAATTGAATGAGATAAGCAAATAATTACAAATTATATAATATTTGATATTTTAAAACACTAGCATGAACAAATGACTATAGTAGTAACTAACTCTACATAAGAGAATCAAGGAAAGTTCCCAAGAAATGGTAACATATGCTCTGAATTTTGAATCTGAAGAAGTTTATCAGGAATACAAGAAAGAAAAAAGGGTTCAGAATATCTCTACTATAGATGTAAAAGCAATGTTGACTAGTATAGTTTGACGTAGTCATTGAACAAAATGTTCTTTGGTGGGATTAAACTAAAAATGCACATGATGAACTTTATTGCATTCATTTCTGTATTTCTTACATCTAGAAAGTACTTATTACATAGTACAGATATATATAGATATTTACTAAAAAGTGTGAATAGATTTAAATAATAGGATAGCAAAAGGTAATGAAAGTTCTTGAAGGCTTCAATGATAATTTTGGCCTCTATCCATTTCTATCCAATAATTAGTATAGCCAGTGGTGGTGTGTTGGCCTTTGTTTTGTTTTATTATTGTTGCATTTTTAGTAGAAGTATATCATCAGTTGTATGCTTTATGCTGAGAATGATGTAAACTATTTATAAGACAGTGAAGATACTGGATTCTAGGAAAGTAAAGATAAGGCATCAGTTAAAACATCAGTAGGTTTGGGAGAGACAATAAAAATAAAATGAATTTTTCAAGTATTCTGGAAAAAGAAATTCGAAGCTTAGATAATTAAGTAAAAAAATGAATGAGAAATGGAGAGGTTGAGAATGAGTTACAGTTTTTTTTTAACTTGGATATTTAGATGTCTGTGTAAATGGCGATACTATTATTCACAATTTTGAAAAATGAAAACCAAATTAAAAAAATGGAGATATGTTTAGGGTAGTGACAAGGAAAATACAGTCAATGTTGTGGTATTATGGGTATGTAAGTGAAGAAGAGCAAATGAATTGTTAAAAATATGCAAAACATTTTAGAAATGTTTAGTAATGGGACTGAGTTTGGAGAATGTATATGATATAACTACAATCTTAAGTATGGCAGATTATTAACATGACACTGAATGTTGGTTGATAAATACAGCCAAGACTTCTAGCATCAGCTATTGTTACACGAGTTGAATCTAGAGTTTTAACCTCATATTACATATATAACAATAGATGACAGGAGAGATCACATAGGGTTCATTCTGTTACGTGTTTTCTGAGGTTTTAGGAAGATGTGTGCTTTTAGAATATCTCCATTCAATTATTAACATTGTTTATAAAAATGCAGATCATAATGGGTCAAATAGCAAATGCAACTTTCTATTTGGAATGCATGACATAATTTTCATATGTTTTCTCATATAAGGGATAAATCATTCTGATGATTCTGTGCCACAGATTTTTCATCTAGATTTTTATCTAATGACAGGTTAAATGAGAAGAGTTAAGGAAATAAGAAATGTAAACCACAGAGTGTAGTGTGTGGCATATAATTTTATGTATAATCTAGACAACTCTTCACAACTTTAAGTACATGTTGACATATTTACATTATATATATATACACACATTTATTTAATCAGTTATAAAATTGTTCCTGTTTTTTAAAATAGCAAATACTTTGGTGTTTTTTTTTCTGTGAATCATCTGAACTGTTAAATTATTAGTTTACTGAAAAAAACATATTAGAACATGATAAACTGACCATACCTGAAAAAAATAAGTAAGAGGTGATAATTGAGTCCACTTTTGCCTCATTGTGAATACACTGAACATGTTTATTTGACTTTCTATAGAGAAACCAATATTTATGCCTCATGCTGACATGGTCAAGTCAGCAATGACTTGGGTTATTCGGATTTTGGAGTAACGTTAATAATTTATTTCTCTGCAATCGATCAAATTAACTACACTGCATTTCAAAAAGCCAAAAATAACTGAAATTTGTTCATTTTCATTATGTGGCTTCCATGCAAAATTGATCATTCTGTTGAAACAGCTGGACACAGGAAGGTTGACTGAGCAGAGTAGAGCTACATTAATCCCAATAATAACTACTTAGAACTCTTGAGCAGGGATTGATTTGGGGAGAAAACAAAGAAAAGTATGTTTCTGAAAGACACCTAATTTCATTCTCTTCCAAAATGCAGACATATGCAGAGTATGATATAGTAAAAGACACTAAACTGCTATTTCTCAGTGACTCACTACACCAGTTGGTCACAAACAGCAAATATAGGACATTCCTCCAGCCCCATTTCCAAGTGTCAGTATCTTACCTGCCCCACCACCTCCCTTAGATTTAGGTCCTTATTCCATACCAAGCAAAGCCCACTTGTTTCAAACAACCATCCCCCTTGGCATAAAAAGGAAGTTTTTGTCATTCATGTGTCTTTTCTGTTGCACTCTTCTTTATGGCTGTTGTTTATCTGCTTGTCACCTGACATCTCTCTGTAATTCCACAGCCTTGCACTCACAGTAGTTATGACACTTAGTTTGCTTTTCATCCTGACCATAAGGGATTGAGAGGATTCAAATATTAATAGTTCTACTCTAATAAGGCATTATCAATATCTAAGCAGCTCTTGTCTATCAACTTTGAATCATTGCAATGAAACTCTCAACAAAGGGGATTCTGGAAATTTGTGCTTATAGGATAATAAAAATGCTTTAATTTTCTTTTTTTCTTTTCTTTTTTTTTTTTTTTTTTTTTTCTGAGACGAAGTCTTGCTCTTGTCCCCCAGGCTGGAGTGCAATGGCATGATCTCAGCTCACTGCAACCTCTGCCTCCCAAGTTCCAGCGATTCTCCTGCCTCAGCCTTCTAAGTAGCTGGGATTACAGGCATCTGCCACCATGCCCAGCTGATTTTTTTTGTATTTTTAGTAGAGACGGGGTTTCACCGTGTTGGCCAGGCTGATCTCAAAGTCTCGAACTCGTGACCTCAAGCAATCCACCCACCTCGGCCTCCCAAAGTGCTGGGATTACAGGCATGAGCCACCGCGCCCGGCCAAAAAATGCTTTAATTTTCAATGTTAGTTTGCTGGCAGGGAACTACCCTTGAAGGCCTAAAACAAGTATTCCTCAAATAACCACTTTACTGTAAGATATTGATAGACAATTTAACTTGAGTAAGCCCCAATTATCTTGGATAAAGAAAGATTACTTACAGGGAGAATACTGACTTTGTAAAATATATCTGGGAATGATTGCATTGGTACTGATATTAATCTTTAAACAATAGCCAAATATTCTATGTAGCTATACAAATAAATAGCTCATTAAAACAGATATTAAATCTGGAAGCTCCAAATTATGTGAATTATTTCAGATTACTACTTCTTCAAATAAGAAAACTATATCATATTCTTTTCTAAAATGACATTATCTATTTTTGTTATGTAAGTGACCTATATTTAATGGCCAAATAGGTTTTATATATAAATATGCTTCATTTCTGCAAATATACATTATGTTAAAAAAAGTTCCAACTAAGATTATTTCCACATATCATTGGACATAATATCAATATCTCCAAACTTAACAAGTATCTAGGGAAAGAATTAGAATAAAAATTGGCATGATATTTTTACTAGTTAATTCTAGGGACCTTGGTATTAGTCTAGAAATAATCAGCTTCTAACTATCCACACATAAATAATATCAAAAAGCAGACTAAGTTTAATCTCTTGGTGTATAACTTTTTTCCTAAGTCTTTTTGTTTTAGGGATTCAGCCTTTCCTTATATCTCTGTTAATACTTATTTTCCTTTTATTATTTTTGATATTCCATCTAAAGGAGCATTGAAAATAACTTCTAGAAGGATTTGAAAGTAATCATTGGGTAACACTAGTGTATATTTAATAATACTAATACTAATAATGTATAACAGTGCTTCAAGCTAGTGCTTATAGTTTAAACTCCTCAAAGATAAATGAATAACCCCAAATTCCCTATATGTCAAGCAGTTTCTTCAGTATATATACATATGTTCCATTTTTTGACCTAGATTTGCTATGTTCCATTTTTTGACCTAGATCTGCTATTTATGAGCCAAGGATCTTAAGTTTTTAAATTTATTTGAATATTTGTTTGATACTCATATTTAGAATGAACTTAAGAATAGCTAACATAGCAGACAGTAGCAAGAGTTAAGAAAATAATAATAATAAGGTACATAAATCCCAGTGCACCTCACTTATTATGTACTGAGTATTCAGTAAGAATGAATTCCCTTCCCACTCATCTATTTGTATACATCTGCTGTTCCAATCTTACGATAGCCCTAATGAGAGCATAGACTATTTCGTGTTCCATGCACAAGAACTTTCAGTAACTCATGGTTTTATTAATAGCCTCAGTCATATACCCAAATCTCCACACAATCTTGTTAGTTTTTAAATAGAAAAAATCCTGTGTATAAATTTAGTATATAGACTAATTAATACAGATATTTTAGGGACTACCATACTGTCCTAGATATTCCAAACATCTCTCTAGGTATACATACCATAAATTTATATGCATGAATCTCAATTTATTGTGCTTCTCTTCACTACACTAGGCAGATTTGGGATATTTTATAAATTGAAGGTTTGTGGCAACCTTGCATCAAGCAAGTCTATCAGTGCCATTTTTCCAACATCACATGCTCACTTCATATCTTTGTGTCGTATTTTGGTAATTCTTGCAATATTTTATTTTTTTAGCATTATTATATATGTCATGGTTATCTGTGATAAGTGCTTTTTGATGTTACTATTTGTTTTGGGGCACCACAAACCATGACCATATAAAACAGAGATCTTAATCAATAAACATTGTGTGTGTTTTTACTGCACCACTAACCAGTCATTCCCTCATCTCTCTCCCTCTCCTTGGGCATCTATATTCCCTGAGACACAACAATACTGAAATTAGGCCAAGTAATAACCCTACAATCACCTTTAAGTTTTACAATGTGTTGACTTAAAGACAAAAATAAAGGCAAAATTAATATAAGTGGATAGTTTACTTGAGCCAAATATAAGGACTACAACCTGAGAAACACAGATTCAAGTTGCCTTAAATATGTTCTATTAGTAGCAGTTACAAGTGGGTTTTTAAAGGAAAAAAGAAGGGGTAGTTCTTTTGAACATAAATATTGATTGGCTGTACATTGTTCTTTGCATCACAAATTCCAAAAACATGAAGATAATGAATGAGAATCACATTGTGCAACTTGTGATAGCATTTGAGGTAATTTACCAGCTAGTCTGGAAACTACGGAGAAGGAAAGAAAACAAAATGCATTTAAACAATTGTTCCCAGATACGGGTATGCGTGTGAAGGAGGATTGTGACTGAAGATTCATTCTCGTATCTCTCTGAGTCTGATAAATCTTGCATACCTCACATTCTGCAGACTGCTCTGAACTACTTTTCTTTCTTAAGTGCAAGAGTCATGTGTCTCTCGTTTTAAATAAAAAGCTGGAAATGATTAAGCTTAGTGAAGAAGGCATTTTGAAAACCAAGATAGGCTGAAAACTAAGTTAAACAAGTTGTGAATGCAAAGAAAAAGTTCATAGAGGAAATTAATAGTGTTACTCCAGTGAATAAATAAATGACAAGAAAGCAAAACAGCCTTATTGCTAATATGGAGAAAGCTTTAGTGGTCTGCATGGAAGCTCAAACCAGCCACAACATTCCCTTAAGCCAAAGCCCACTGCAGAGCAAGGCCCTAGCTCTCTTCAATTATGTGAAAGCTGAGAGAGGTGGTAAAGCTGCAGAATAGAAGTTTAAAGCTAGAATAGGTTGGTTCATGAGGTTTAAGGAAATAAACCATCTCTATAAGTAGAAGGTGAAACAGCAAGTGCTGATGGAGAAGCTACAGCAAGCTTTGCAGAAGATCTAGCTAAGATAATTGATAATGATAGCTACATTAAAGAACAAATTTTCAATGTAGACAAAATAGCCTTCTATTAAAGGAAGATACCTTCTAAGATTTTCATATCTGGAGAGACAAGTCAATGCCTGACTTCAAAGCTTCAAAGGACAGCTGACTTTCTTGTTAGGGGTTAACGCAGCTGTTAACTTTAAGTTGAAGCCAATGATCACCAACCATTCCAAAAACCCTAGAGCCCATAAGCAGTATGCTAACTCTACTCTACCTGTGCTCTATAAATAGAACAACAAATCCTGGATGACAGCACATGTGTTTACAGCATAGTTTACCAAATATTTTAAGCCCACTGTTTACATTTACTGAAAAAAAAAAGTTACTGCTCAATGGTAATATACCTTGTCCTCCAAGAACTCTGTTACTGCTCAATGGCAATGTACCTTGTCCTCCAAGAACTCTGATGGAAATGTACAAGATTAATGTTGCTTTCATGCCTGGCAACACAATATCCATTCTTCAGCCCATGAATCAAAAAGTAATTTTGACTTTCAAGTATTATTGTTTAATAAATATATTTTGAAAGGTGATAGAAGCCATTGATAGAAATTCCTCTGATGGATCTTGGCAAAGTAAATGGAAAACCTTCTGGAAAAGATGCAACAAGAACTTTTGTGATTCATGGGAAGAGATCAAAATATCAGTACTAACAGGAGTTTAGAAGAAGTTGATTTAACCTTCATGGATGACTTTGAGGGGTTTAAGACTTCAATTGACGAAGTAACTGCAGATGTAGTAGAAATAGCAAGAAAACTAAAACTATAAGTACAGCCTGAAGATGTGACTGAATTCCTGCAATCTCATAATAAAACTTTTAAAAATGAGGAGTTGCTTTTTATGGATGAGAAAATAATGTTGTTTCTTGAGATGAAATCTATTCCTGGTCAAGATGCTGTTACTATTTTTAAAATGACAACAAAGGATATAGACTATTATACAAAAACACTTGATAAAGCATCTGCAGGGTTTGAGAGGATTTATTCCTATTTTGAACGTTCTACTATGGGTAAAATACCATCAAATAGTGTCACATGCTATGGAGAAATATATCATGAAAGAAAGAGTCAATCAATGTGGCAAACTTCATTATTGTGTTATTTTAAAAATTTGCAACAGCCAACCCAACCTTCACCAATGAACACCATGATCAGTTAACTGCCATCAACATCAAGGCAAGACCACAAAAAGATGACTCACATAAGGCTCAGGTGATTTTTAGTATTTGTAGCAATAAAGTATTTGTAAATTAAGGTATTTATATGATTTATTTTGGACATAACGCTATCACACATACAGACTACAGTATAGTATAAACATAACTTATTTGTACTGGGAAATCAAAAAAATTTATGTGACTGTTTTTTTTGTGATTTTTACATTATTGCAGAAGTCTGGAACTGAATTCTCATTGTCTCTGAGATATGCCTGTGCCATCACTAAGGTGAATTCATTGGGTTAAGGTATTTTCTCTAAACATTTTCTGAAATCATATTTTTTTTTTTTGCAACTCAGAGATAAACTAGGCAATGATGAATCTGTTTTTTCATACATTAACATTATAAATGTATAATAATCTGGGTGCCATGAATATAACAATGGACAAATTACATAAAACTCTAGTTTTTATGGAACTTGTAGTCTAGCAAACTCAGAGGGATGCATAAATAAATAAACTAATATATATCAGGCTGTATTAAGGTATGAACAAATTAAATGTGACCCAGGTTTGTAAGGATTTCTCTGATAAGGTAAAATTTGGACAAAGGTCAAAGGAGGTGAAGAACTAACCCATAGAAGATCTAGGAAAAGAATATTCTACATATAGGAAAAGTAAAGCTCTTAAATGTTTTTAATTTTGAAAGTTTAAAAAGGAGAACTTTAAGGCACACAAATATAGTACAAAGCCTATGGAAAGTTTCAAGCAGGGACATGACATGATCAGATTGATGTTTAAAATATACACATAATAAATTATTACCAACTATAATGTAATGTTATTATTTGAAATTTTTATTCAAGAAATATTTGAAAGCCTGTCTTGCACAAGGCACTATGCTTTTGTTCTGGATGCCCCTGTCTTCACAGATTTTAACATCTATTAGAAGTGGTTATGGGGCATGCAGATGAAGATAACTGCTGATTATGAGGCATGATTAATAGCTAAAGAGAGTAATATACAGACTGCACTAGTAAGTTACACAGGAGTATCCCCAGCCAAACATTGACTATCCATTCAGGCTTGTTGGTGGATGCCTTAGCTTATAAATGGGAGTGAGGTAGGTGAAGAGAGGACACCTGCAGACATTTTATTTTATTTTATTTTTTTATTTATTTTTGAGATAGAGTCTCACTCTGTCACTCAGGCCGGAGTGCAGTGGTGTGATCTTGGCTCACTGTAACCTCTGCCTCTGGGTTCAAACGATTCTCCTGTCTCAGCCTCCCAAATAGCTGGGATTACAGGCGCACGCCACCACGCCTGGCTAAATTTTTGTATTTTTAGTAGAGATGGGGTTTCACCATGTTGGCCAGGCTGTTCTCAAACTCCTGACTTCAAATGATCCGCCCACCTCGGCCTCCCAAACTGCTCAGATTACAGGCGTGAGGCACCACGCCCGTCTGAAGACATTTTATATATTTACATGGGACACACACAATACATATATGATACTAAAAGCAATTCAACATTATTTGGCTGTAAAGTGTAAAGTTTTGGTTGTAAAAGACTCTATTCTGTGCATGTGATTAACGAGATTGAGACTTAATGCAGTGCAAATGAGGAGCCATGGAAAGTATTTCCATAATTACTTAAAATTGCGTTTGATAGGTCACTCTGACATGTATGAGAAGGGCAGATGTGGTGGGAAACAAGAAAAGGAAGCAAGAGAATCACAGTTATTATGATTTTTAGCTATGAGTGTATTGGGGTATAAATAAGAGCAAGAAAATAAGAATAGAAGTGACGGATTGATTGTAAATAAATAGTAAGTAAAACCAAGGGAATTGATGACTAATCACAGGAGGGGATAAAGGGAAAAACAAAAGAGAAGCCAAGATGACTTCTAGGTTTCAGGTTGGGTTAGTAGATCAAATGCATTTCAGCCAGCAGAAAGAAAAAAAATAACAAAATAGGCCTTGGGAGGAAGAATATTTGTTCAGTTTTGACATTTTTGAAGCTCCTGTGTGTGGCCTATGTTTGTAGAGCAAGCAAATGGTTTGATTAATGAATCCTAGACTGCAAAGAGAGGTCTAAGAGGACAAATACATTTGGAAGAAAGAGACACATAATTAGTAGTTGAAACAATGTAAGTCAATGAAATCACCCAAAGGGGTAGTGTATGGGGACAGAAAAGCAATGTGTAAGGAATCAAATTTTAGTATGGGTAAGAGATCCTTAGGAGACACACACACACACAGAGGCAGATTGAGAGAGAGAGAGAGAGAGAGAGAGAGATCAGGAACTTTCAAAACTGGAAAAGAGTAAGAAAGAGTTTTCTCCATTAGGAAAGCTGGGGAAGTGGAAAATTTAAAGGAAAAGGGATTTTTTCAACAGGGTTATTGCCTTTACCTCTGGTCTGCCAGGCTCTTGCATGTAGTAAATAGTAAGCACTTAGTGCAAAGTTGATAGAATGAATGAAAAGAAGAGAAATGGCAAAAGTAAATTAAAATTCAAGGTAAAAATTTCAAATATAAGGACCACTGAATTTAGTAACTGAAAGAGAAAGAGTTTAAGCTTTCACAAATAGCATGGTCAATGCCACAGAAAATCTAAGAATTATGAGAGTTTATTTATCTTGTCTTCACTCTATCTACTTTATGACTACTTTAACCCCCTAATCTGTTTTCAGATTTGCAAACCAGAGATAGGAAATATTATTCAGTGGAAATTTTGCAAAAATAAAAATTTAGAAGAATAAGGCCTCACTTAAATAGCTATCTTACATCCTAAGTGAACTCGCTTTGTAAGCGAGCTATTTCACTTAGAAACAAGTTGATTCGAAGAAAGTAAACTTTAAAATCAATAAAATTAATAAACAAAAAGTTCACATTTAGCATTCCTCCAATAGGAATTCATGATAACAAGTCTCACTTTAAATTGTGAATGAAAATAATTTTCTGAGGCATAAAAATTGTTAGATTATGGCTTTACTAGGGTGGACCTTCTAGGAAATTAGAGTGAAAATAGGGAAAGAGTACTAGACAAATGAATTCAGTGATAAATCTAGTTCTGTGAGTGAGTTTCCTAATGACCTTGGGGAAATAACTTGATCCTTTGCATCAAATATTTTATCTATGTATAAAATAAGAAAGTAGAACTGCATAACCTTTATGGTATTTTCCAGTACTAAAGTAAATGATATTAAAGTTATAGTTATGATCTATATCAAGTATCATTTTTCTTAATCTCACTGTCTGACATCTAGAGCAGTATGGGGAAATAGATGAGAAAAAAAGGTCTAAAATTGGAGATAGGCTGAAATAGGTATGAAAAGGAAGAGGCAAAGAAATGGAAAAAAAGATAAGAAATGTGTTCAAAATATTCAAAAACTATTTACAAGAAGGATAAAAAATGTACTTTTAAAGTTTTAAATACTAAGGAATTAATCTGAATTTATAATTGGGAAGTAGAAATTAAGAACATATGAAATAGTGCATAGACTCTACATCTACCCCTAGATAGAATAAAATTGAGGCATACATATAGATAGGTTTAGATAAATTGTCTTGAATTTCCTTATTTTTTCAGACTATAATAAATCTTCGACATGGTCAATTTAATAAATTCAGTATGATTTGTCAGATGTGAGAAATAGACCAGGGCACAAAATCACTTTATATTTGAAGACAGGCATGAATTATGACTTGAATTTTGTGATATTTTTTTCAGAACTCACAAACAAGCAATGTGACAGACACGCAAGGTCAAGAAATATTACGGTGTGGATGAACTGGAAGGTCTGTAGTGTCAGCCTAGGCTCTGGAGGAGCCTAACCTCTCAGGGTTATTCCTTTGTAAGCTGGGGAGAGGTCACTCAGCATTTAAGTGTATGGATTATTGGTAAAAGAAAATGTAATTAAAGTCTGTCTTGTGAGCTGAAGATACAGCCTTCAGACTAAAAAATCCTTACTAATCACAGTTCCAAAGCAGAGTGACAAAACGTTTTAAGCAGATTATGTTTGTATTAGTTACTTATTGGGCTTTGAGGCCTACCTGAGATCTTCATACAACAGAACTAGCCATCCAACTTGGAGTGTTTTGTTTGCATAGGCTATTTCTTCAAAAATTAAAAAAGTACCCTTAATTCTAGAATTTTGTACTTTATCTGAAACTCTTGCCATCTAATTTCTCCCCGCCTCCCGAGATTTTCCTAACTTAATAAAACACTGCTATGTATGTAGCATCTCCATTTCTTCAGTCAGTTCTTCTACATAAAGATGTTTTGACCTTGCAATAATCTTAGCTACAAAAATGTACATATATTTATGTAATGTAAACACCACAAACACAAAGCATCTTCAGTGTGCAAACCATTGTGTTAGACACTAGGAAACAATGAGCTAAATATATTTCTACATGTGCTATAAATTGGAAATGGAGTTTATAATACATTTATATAGAGTCCAACAAGACTGTTTAAATTTTTCTTATATATGAATTACCAAGAATACGAAGGAAAAATAAGTTTTTATTTTTTGTTTATTTATTTATTTATTTTGAGACGGAGTCTGGCTCTGTTGCCCAGGCTGGAGTGCAGTGGTGCAATCTCGGCTCACTGCAAGCTCCACCTCCCGGGTTCACGCCGTTCTCCTGCCTCAGCCTCCCGAGTAGCTGGGACTACAGGCGCCCGCCACCACGCCCGGCTAATTTTTGTATTTTCAGTAGAGACGGGGTTTCACCGTGTTGCCCAGGCTGGTCTCGAACTCCTGAACTCAAGTGATCCACCTACCTCGGCCTCCCAAAGTGCTGGGATTACAGGCGTGAGCGACTGCACCCGGCCAGTTTTTATTTTTTTAATATATAAATTTAAATAGAATTTTGTCCATGTTTTTTTTTTCTCCTCAGTTTACATTAAATATACGGAATCTCCACCAGATGTCAGTATATGCATGCAAATATTTTACCTTGCGACAGAAGCGCCTACAAAGGCTTAGTTAGAAAGTACTCAAATAAGAAATGAATGCCTTTTATTTAAAGAACATTAAATTCTCTAATCACATTCACTCTATATATACTTCCTCACAGATTATTTAAAACCACGTTCTCCAAAGTTTTTAAGCCAGCCAAATACATATACTGTCCATTGAAGATTTTGTTCTCATACTTTATGCATAATAAGTGTTTACTGAAAGACACACAGCTAGACAATTATTCAGTTAATATTATTTGTATTATTATTAGTGAATCTATATAATTGTATTTAATGAATTTGTGTACCTAAAACGTTACAAAGAATAATTTGAAAACCCAGTCAAAACAATAAGATTATTCTGTAAGATGACTAACTACAATATTATTATGTATGTGTTAATTTTTACACACACCAGGTAAAAGCGATTAAAACTGTAAGGAAGAAAATGTGCCATTAAAAATAGAAAAAAAAAACAGCCTATAAAGTAGAAAAGGTGATATATGTTGTATCTACCTGAGGAATAATTAAAAACTTTTCTAGAAAGCATAAAATAATTAAAAACTTTACTAGAAAGCCTAAAACCATACTAAAAATATTTGCAGAAAAGATGAGTCCCCGTGGGAAAAATGCTAATTTATCCTAGATAGCTGTATGTTTAACGGTATTCCAACTTGGATACAATTAGATATTAGGAAAATTTTTTGCAATTTCACCAAAATTATATAAAATTCTATTTCGAGAGTGGTTTAACACTACTGTTACTAGAATTTATTATAAAGCTACAATCATTTTTTAAAAGGTAAGTATTAAGGAAGAATCCCCTCAATAGAAATAACTAGAATTCCTGAATTTACCCAAATGAGCAGTCTGATTTAGTAGATGATAAAAGTGGCTTATCAAATCACTGAACAAAATATATATTATTTAATAACATTTCTATATTAAATAAATATTCTCAGTACAACTAGCCTGTCATAAAAAGAAATAAACACATAACTAAGTTTAATAAGAGTAAATACAATATAGTCATATGATGTTATGTTCTGGGAATATATTAAAAAAATTATGACAATGTTAGTTTTCAAGAGACATACTCCCTTAATCATTTTTCATGTTAATTTGCTGCTTTATAAGATTAAAAAATAAAACCATTAAAAATGGTATGCTTTCCAGACTCATTGGGAATACAGGCTATCAAAACATGAAGAAATAGATATAATGTTTAAAATGTAAAATACATGATAGTTTAATATAATTAATATGATATACAAAATATAAATATAATAAGTCAATAAATGAAATAATGTAAAGTGATCAAGAAAATGAAGGCCTTAATTGTGATGAAAAACAAATAGAATCAATAATTGGGAAAGATAATAATTTGTCATTAGTAAAAAAATTAAGTTATTCTTTCTAAGTTTTAGTAGTCAAAGTTTTGGTTATCTTCAGAATGATTTCGAAGGCAGTAAGATTTTAAGCCACCGACATTTTTCTATTCAGAACTTTTGCTACTCAATCTGCATTAACACCTTAATTCAGCTGGTGTGACTCATTTTGTTTTTCATGCAAACTTGTATTCCCACTATGCATTAAGAACTGTGTCAAAAACACAGTAAAAATTTGTCTATAAAACAGGCATTTTTGCCTTAGGATTTACAGTTTTTGCACACCATGCATTTAGATTAAAAAAACTGTAATAGAGAACCAATAACCAAAGCTTTCCATTAAAAAAAAAAAAACCTGTTTTCAAACTTAAACCTCGTGTTTAATGGAAATATTTTATTAAGTACTTTCCTTAGTCTTTAATCTCATTACTACCCCCCAGAAACCTGCAGCCTAGATATGTACTGCGATTTTTGTATCCTCTGTGAGTTTTACCACCATCTCCTTTTCCATCCACACTCTATCCTCATCTATTGGCTCTTATCTTCTCTGCGAATAGGAATATTCTTTCTCTTTGCTGAAGCAGACATTTTCATCAGTGTCATAGATTCAAACTTCTCTCAACACTGCTGGGAAATTATTCCATCCATTTAACTCTAATCCTTGCATTATTTATATTTCTCACCACAAGATACACTTCTAGGGAAGAAAAAAATACTGTTTTCCAATTTCCAAACAATCTCTAACCTAAATATACTTGGGAATGATTGTATTTTCCTTCTTTTTCTGTTAACTCCATACCTTCATTTTCTTACCCACTATTCATTTCCTATACTTTTTCCAGTATTTTCGTAATAATTATTTTGTATAAATTTGAATATAAGTTTAATATTGAATACCATGATAATATGTGCGTGTGTGTGTGTGTGTGTGTGTATACTATTTTTCTGATCAAACAAGTGTTTCCATGCTCACACAGAAAAACTATTACCAGGAGGAGAGTTGAGTATAAAAAACGTGATTCAGATTTTAATTAAACAAAGGAAATAATTTTTTAAAATGCTATTAAGTGTAAATTGTATTTCTCTTAATATGTAGTTAGTATTTAATCATTTCTATATATAATGAAGTTTTGTGGCTAGGTTTCTTCATTGTAAAATTACTATTTTTTTCCATTTTTAAGTAATAAAGACTTGCTCGAGGGGAGATTTTTGACATTCTGCAAATATTCCACCGCTCCTTAAATTTTGCCCACTAATATAAATATCCATCAGATCTTGCTTACAGTATTAATTCAGTGTTCTAATGTTGTTTTCTATTTCATTCACTCTTTTAAAATTTACTAATTATAATTCTTTTGTAAAGAAGAGTAATTCCTTCTCCTACATTTGCTTTTTTATTGTTATTTATTGATATCAGTATGAACTTATCCATATTTACTTTATTAATTGAATGTAAACCAAATATTATTATTTACTTTTTTGCTCAATTTGTTCAATCCTTGGCCACTGAGAGCACTTTTTACTTTGACTCCCGTGTCTTCTCAATGTTCCCCAAGTTCTTTTTCTTTTTTTCTTCTTCTTCTTTTACTTTCGAGGCAGAGTCTCACTCTGTTGCTCATGCTGGAATGCAGTGATATGACCTCAGCTCACTGCAACCTCCGCCTCCCGGGTTCAAGAGATTCTCATACCTCAACCTCCCAAGTAGCTGGGATTACAGGTGCCCGCCACCATGCACCAGCTAATTTTTCTACTTTTAGTAGAGACGTGGTTTCACCATGTTGGCCAGGCTGGTCTTGAACTCCTGACCTCAGATGATCCGCCGTCCTCGACCTCCCAAAATGCTGGGATTACAGGTGTGAGCCCCCATGCCCAGACCCCCAAGTTCTTTTTCATACTTCTTTTCTGTCAGCATCGATGCTCTGGGCTCATCTCCCATATTCTCTAGCTGAGAATCCTTTACTTCTCCAAAGAACCATGATTCTTTTGTTTGTTTGTTTGTTTGTTTGTTTGTTTTGGATGAAATTAGCAACTAAAATCTGCATCACTGTGCCCATTGCTACTGAAGTGACACTGCACTTAAGCCCTTTCAGTGGATAGAGCTAAGAAACATACATAGGTATGCTAACCCATGTATGCACATCGAAATTTATTTCTATATCTAATATATATTAACACACAGGGTAAAATAGAACATAAGCTCATACTGATACTTCTGGACTTGAATCCAACACTGTAGTGTTCATTCTAACCCTCTTCCCATCCCTATTCCTCACCTCCATTTCTTATTTGTGAATTTTTTCTCTAATAATGACAAAACTAGATCCCATTCTCTACAATATATTGACTACTCATGTAGTCAACCCTCCATACTTACAGATTTTGCAGAAGCAATTACAAAATTTAAAGGGATCCTTCATGGATAATATTTGTCACTGTCTGAGTTTGTTTTGCTTTTCAGTGTGAGTGGGTTAGGTGGTAGGGGGCATAATTCAAGTTATTCAATATTAGTTACACAACTCCTGGGCAAGACAAACATTAAATTGAGCAACTTAAAACAACTCTACTTTCAAAGAGAAAAATTTAGGTACTTTGTTTAGAAATCATTCAGGTAGTGTTTCAATCTCACAAACAGTTAAATTTTGTGTTAAAATTTATAAGAAATCAAGAGCCAAGAGTGTTAGGTGATTGGAATTGGAGAGAGGTTATTTTTTCAGCTGTTTGGATTGCTGGTTGGATTTTGAGATGACATAAGGCAAAAAAAAAAAAAAAAAAAAAGGTCACATAAATTATATAAGGAAGCCTCCAAGATAGATAGGAAATTTTCTGGTATGGTTTAGGGAAGACAATCAGCTAAGAGAAGTATGTGATTAAGATTTTGCCTCTAGGTTATACAGTTTTCCAATAAAATATAACCCAATTAGATTCAAATTAAATAAAGAAAACTCTGTAGTCCTTCATGTTGCATCTTCTCAATTTTTCTTTAGTAAGTTTTATTATTTTTCAGTTATATTAATGATAACAAGCATTTTTTTCAAAAATACAACATATATAGCAAATCATATTCATGAAAAGGCCTTCTGATGTCTGTCATCACTCACGAAAGTCAAATTATTTGGATTTAAAATCTTTGATTACAACATAATTTTTTTCCTGTTAAAACTTTGTTATTATATATCTAGGTATTTGTAAATGCATAATGTCATTTCTGCTACAGAAGGGAAGGTAAGCAACGGTACACTTTGGTGGTTTTGTAAATAGCCTACATTTTCTGTTAGGCTATCTTGGTGATTAATTCTTTTCACTGAAGTGTAAGGCTTTCAAATCGATGCAGGCCTACATTTAATCTCATGGTATGTCTCAGTTTTCTTATCATTTAAAGAAGGAAATCACATATATTACAGTATCATTGTCAGAATAAAATAAAAATATAAAACACACAGAACAAATCTAACCACATAGTAGGTGATTAATAATAATTTAATAAATATTATAGTAATAATATATAATACCAACCAAAGAAAACCAGAAGTCACTGAAAACTAAAAAAGGCAAAGAAATAGACTCTCCATTTGAATCTCCAGAATAAACGCAGTCCTACCTGTCCATTTTAGATCATAGAACCATAAGATAAACTGGCATTGCTTTAAGCCACTAAGTTTAGCAGCAATTTTTTTTTTTTTTTTTTTTTTTTTTTGAGACAGAGTCTCACTGTATCGCCCAGGCTGGAGTGCATTGGCACAATCTCGGCACACTGCAATCTCTGTCTCCTGAGTTTAAGCTATTCTAATGCCGCAGCCTCCCAAGTAGCTCGGATTACAGGTGTGTGCCACCAAACCCAGCTAATTTTTGTATTTTTAGTAGAGATGGAGTTTCACCATATTGGCCAGTCGAACTCCCGACTCCAGGTGACCTGCCTGCTTTGGCCTCCATCCCTGTAGGATGTGATTACAGTCTTGAGTCACTAAGCCCGGCAGTTTGCAGCAATTTGTTACAGCAACAATAGAAAGCTAATACAGGTGTCTTAAAACACAGCCTTCGTGGATTATGAAAAAGACTGGCTTGTTTTCTGCCTGGTCTTGTCTTACCATTCTAAAGCAGCTGGCAAACATGGAAAAATATATGAAATATCTGTGAGTACATATTTAGGTGTGGAAGACCACCCTGCTACTTCTGAGCATGCTTAGTTCATTTAGTCTGTTTCAAACAAGTTCCATTAGCATGATAATTAATGAAAACTGTTTGGAGAGGTTAACAACAACTTAATTGTAAATATTCTAAAAAAAGTTATTTAATTTTGTTTTCTAAGTAGGAGTTTCATCTTGGCCTTTATTGTATTTATTTGTTTTCTTTGCATGCTGTTAAATACATGTCAGATTTCTCTTGTTTGATGATATTTAAAATCAAAGGTATCAAAAGTATTTGTCTCATCATTCAGGTAAGAATTTATTCATTAAATAGCAATTTGATTAAAATGGTCATCACCTCTGCATGGAGTTTAGTCTCAATTAGAAGACACTTATTAAACAAGTATCTATGACTAATAAATATTTCAAAAGTGGAAACAGAGATACTCTGAAATTGAATGGTAGGAAAAAATTACCAAGTCTAGAGAAATCCAGGGAAAATATCTTTGAGAAAGTGAAAGTTCTATGGTCACTACACTTAGCAAGAATTAAAATGTTCCATTCTAAAATTTTCATGGTTTTAGGTCTTAGATTTAAGTCTTTGATCCATCTCGAGTTGATTTTTGTATAAAGTGAGAGAAGATGATCCAGTTTTATTCTTCTACATGTGGCTTGCCAATTATCCCAGCACCATTTGTTAAATAGGTTGCCCTTTCCCCACTTTATGTTTTTGTTTGCTTTGTTAAAGATCAGTTGGCTGTATTTGGCTTTATTTCTGGGTTCTTAATTCTGTTTCATTGGTCTATGTGCCTATTTTTATACCAGTACCATGCTGTTGTGGTAACTGTGGCCTCACTCCTGCAAGAATGGCCATAATAAAAAACATATTAGATGTTGGCATGGATGTGCTGAAAGGGAACACTTTTACACTGTTGGTGGGGATGTAAACTAGTATAACCACTAATGGTGTGGAGAGTCTATAAAGAACTAAAAGTAGATCTATGATGTGATCCAGCAATCCCACTACTAGGTATCTATCCAGAGGAAAAGAAGTCATTATATGAAAAAGATACTTGTCCATGCATGTTTATAGAAGCACAATTTGCAATTGCGTGAATATGTAACCAGCCCAAATGCACATCAATCAATAAATGGATAAACAAAATGTGACATATATATCATACACACACACACACACACACACACACACACCATGGAATACTACTCAGCCATAAAGATGAAATAATGGCATTTAAAGCAACCTGGATGGTATTGGAGACCATTATTCTAAGTGAAATAACTCAGGAATGGAAAAACAAACATCATATATTCTCACTTATAATTGGGAGCTAAGCTATGAGGACACAAAGGCATAAGAATGATACAATGAACTTTGAAGACTCATGGGAAAGGGTGAGAGGTGGGTGAGGGATAAAAGACTACACATTGGGTACAGTGTACTCTGCTTGGGTGTTGGGTGCACCAAAAATCTCAGAAATCACCACTAAAGGACTTACTCATATAACCAAACACTACTGTTCCCCTAAAACCAATTGAAATAAAATTAAATTTTAAAAAAATGAAATAAAATGTTCCAGCCAGGTGCAGTGGCTCACCCCTGTAATCCCAGCCCTTTAGAAGGCCAGATGGGCAGATCACTTGAGGCCAGGAGTTCAAGACCAGACTGGGCAACATAGGGAGACACCTCTCTACAGAAGTTTGAATAATTTTTTTTTTAATGGAGGCATACATTGCAGTCCTAGACACTTGGGAGGCTGAAGTAAGATCTCTTGAGACCAGGAGTTCCAGGCTGCAGTGAGCTCTGAGCACACCACTGCACTCCAACCTGGGTGACAGAGGGAGTTGCTGCCTCAAAAAAAATTCCATTAATAAAAAAAAGAAGCAACACAATGAGAGAGATTAACTTCTAAGAACAATGGGAAGCTACTGAAAAATGTTAAACAGTGAAGTAGCATCAGTAATCTACATCATTGAAGAGTTTATTCCAGCTGCAATGTGAAAATAAATTAATGAATCAGAGTGCTTTTGTAATGCATTGCTTTAGCAACAAACAACTAACACAATTCAACTATACTTGTGGTTTAAGATCATTATAATTGATAAAGCATGTGTGTGTGTGTTTGCTTAACTGCAACTTGGTTAGATTTCTTTAGGTAAATATTTCTTCTCACTACTGTTTATTTCTCACTACTGATGTCTCTCAGAGCCCTAACCCTCATTCCAATTGATAACTTTTATTTAAAGATGCACCCTGTGATGCAAATGGGAACTAGAAAATGAAGCTTCTTCAACCAGCTTTATAAATATTACAAAAGCTCGTAGATGCAAAGGAAATACTGCTGAGCCAAGTAATGCTAAGTTAACTTTGTGAGAACTATTCTTCCTGCTCTAAGATTCTATTATTGGTCTTTGTATTATGCCTGTGTTGTATTTGAAGTTGTTAAATACTACATGAAGAGTCTTATTGTACATGAAATCACATCTTTGTCTCCACCCACACTTAAAGTATAAATAGCTTACTGTTTTATTCTGAAACTCACTAAATAGATAACACATGAAATAATCATATTTAAATATTTACTTTGTTCCCATGACAATGAAATGTTACCGTGTAGGGCTGGCTAGATATGTTAAACACAGGAGTTTCATTAAAGTGCCAAGTTCTGCCTCAATGGTGATATTATAGGGATAAGATCAAGGAAAGCATTTCCTACAAATGAACAACCCTTGCAGGTAGATTGCATAAACATTTGAAGCGGCTTTGAAAATTAAAATAAAGGGTATCTGATTTAAAAGAATATAAGATTATGAGATTTTTTCCCTCAGTCATGGTGAAAGTCGCCATTATTACTGCATTTGAATTTGCCTTCCTATTCAAAAAAAAAAAAGTGAATGGATGCATTTTCCCGTCTTTATTTGTTGTTAACATATACGGTTTAACATTTTAAATCTTTTTAATGTGGTGTTCAAATAAAGTCACTTTTCTATGTCATGCTATTTTCTTTTGTAACAAGCAAATGTGAATTATCTGGCTGTGATTGTTTATTCTTTCCTTTAGAGATTAGTGAAGTTAAAACACTTTTGTTTTTCCAAAAATATGGCTTCAGTGTTTTCGATTATTTAAATTTTATAGAGTCTTTGATTCCTGTGATCTCTTTTCCACATCAATTGGCCTAGGAAAATCAACTTCTGGTTTGCAACTCTACTCAAATGATATTGCATTTTTAAAGCCATTTGTGACCCAAGATGTTAAAAAAAAATTGTTCTTACCGGCCGGACGTGGTGGCTTATGCCTGTATTCCTAGAATTTTGGGAGGCCGAGGCAGGTGGATTGCCTGAGGACAGGAGTCCGAGACCAGCCTGGCCGATATGGTGAAACCCGGTCTCTACTAAAAATACAAAAAAATTAGCCCCAAAGAACACTCTAAAGATAGTATGTTTTACATTTGCTTATGCCATTCATACTTGTGATATATAAACAAGAAATAGACTAGTATCTACTAAAAATACAAAAACTTAGCTGGGCATGGTGGTGTGCGCCTGTAATCCCAGCTACTCGAGAGGCTGAGGCAGGGGAATTGCCTGAAGCAGGGAGGTGGAGGTTGCAGTGAGCCAAGATCAGGCCACTGCACTCCAGCCTGGGTGACAGAGAGAGACTCCATCTCAGAAAAAAAAAAAAAAACATTCTTACCACCTTTTCTACCCCTAGTATAGCCTATACATATTTATACCACAGTATCTCTAGGCATATTGCATGTGCTTTCACATCCTCTTCATCTATTCTTCAATAGGCTTCTTGAAAGCTGTTTCTATGTCTTTACTTGTTTTTGTAGCCCTCAAACATGGGGCACATTTAAGTCACTAAATAATATGTAGAGCTTGAGTCTCAGCTCACACTGAAAGTAAATCACCCTGATCCCGATTTAGATTGTACAAATCTTCTGTGCAAATATTATAAAGATATAGTTGGTGAGTATAAGAACAATGTATGCCATGCTGCCCAGTAAAAAAAAAAAGAACATTGTTTTACATTTGATAACTTTTATGTAAAAAATATGTAATTAATCAGTGTATATGAAAACTAACCTCTAACCTCTAATTCAGAAAATATCAATGTCAATCTTCCCCATATAATTGCTGAATGAGAGTATGGATGAGTATGTATGTATATATTTGTGTGCGTGCGTGTGTGTGTGTGTGTGTGTGCATGTTTATAATTTTATTATAAAAATCCTCAAATGATCTTAGCAGTATGAATGATTGTTTATAGACAATGACAAGTACTTTTTCTAAATGGTTCTAGCAATTTACACTATCACCAATACATTGCAAGACTTTTTTATTTCATTGTTATTGTTTTTTATTTTATTTATGTATTTATTTATTTTGAGACGGAGTCTCTCTCTATCACGACCTCAGCTCACTGCAACCTCTGCCTCCCGGGTTTGAGCAATTGTCCCTGCCTCAGACTCCTGAGTAGCTAGGATTATAGGTGCCTGCCACCACACCCGTCTAATTTTTGTATTTTTAGTAGAGATGGGTTTCCCCATGTTGGCTAGGCTGATCTTGAACTCCTGACCTTAGGCGATCTGCTTGCCTCAGCCTTCCAAAGTGCTGGGATTACAGGTGTGAGCCACCATACCCGGCCAAAACTTTCTTTTACTCTGCATCTTCCATAACCCTATCCAAGGGGGAGTGCAAGCCTCTGTAAATCTGGCTGAAAAACTGCCCATCCCATTTAATGAGTCCAAAGGTGTTGGTTGGTAGTAAAGGTAGTATTAAAGAGATCTTTTTGATATCAGGCACAGCTGTAGTATCCTATAATAACAAACATAACATAATGTTTATATTTTGTTCTCTGTCTTATCCTGTGTCTACTTCCTCATTGTTTGAAAACTTCAATTTTTAGGAGTATGTGCAAAACTATCACCTTCAGACTCTAAAATATGGGGCTTTGGCAAGGAAACTTTGAGAAATTGGCAAAAGGAGTGGCATTTTGGGACCAAAATACCCCATGGTGAGAGCTAGCCTCTTGATGCAGCTGTCACAGCAGGTGTGTGAAGGCAGGTGAATGTTTGTAAGAGGTGCAGGCTGGAGCAAAGCAAGGTGCACGCCTTGCGTGAACAGATTATACAGATCTCTGTGTCCAAAAATCCTCAGCACTTGGCCACAGCTGGGACTGCAGGTATGGGGAATAGATAAGGCAGCATTTTGATGACCAGAAAAAAAAAATGTTTTTAATGTAAGATGAGGCTCACCTCAAAAGTGACAGAGTTTCAGTGTATGTGAATTTCAGCCATTGCTGCGTTGAACAATTTTTACTTATTTATTTTCTTTCTCAGTTGGGACTGCAGTATTGGGTTAAAACCATAAATACGGCTAAAGTTGGCACCAACTACAAAACAATTTCATGTTATATTTTGGCCTTAAAATTGTTAGTGCCAGATGTGGATAAGCAAGATTAGACTGATTGCTTAAAATTTTATTTCTTTTCATTTTAAAAAATGTTTTGTTATAGAGCAGTTTGTTATGTAAAGCATGTACCACAAAAGGAACAAACGTATGGTTCATGTAATTCATGACACATGACACTTGGTAATAAAATGAACACCCCTAAATTCACCATACACTTGACAACAAAACATTGCCCCAAAAAACCCCAATCACATGTGTGCACTATGGTTATCTCATTTTCCTGCTTGAATTTCAGATGTCATTCCCTGGCCTTCTTTTATTATTTTATACTGTGTGTGACTATGTACTCATATGTGCATATCTAGTTAACACATTTAATATTTATCACATTTTAGAGCCTTATAAAATAGCATCGCACTGAAAGTACCATTTTGAAACTTCTTTTTTTTTGGGGGGGATGGAGTTTCACTCTTGTTGCCCAAGCTGGAGTGCAATGGCATGATCTCGGCTCACCACAACCTCCGCCTCCCGGATTCAAGCAATTTTCCTGCCTCAGCCTCCTGAGTAGCTGTGATTACAGGCATGTGCCACCACACCTGGCTAATTTTTTTGTATTTTTAGTAGAGATGGAGTTTCTCTATGTTGATCAGGCTGGTCTTGAACTCCCGATCTCAGGTGATCCGCCCGCCTTGGCCTCCCAAAGTTCTGGGATTACAGCAGGCATGAGCCACCATGCCCGGTCCTGAAACTTGTTTTTTAAATAAATTTCTTTCTAGAATTAATCTATGTCATCATTACAACACCAATTTATCTTTCTTCAATCTTTATAATGTTCCATTTGGTAAATATATGACAATTTATTTATGCTTGTCCTGTTGATAGACATTATTTCCAAATTTTTGTTATTATGAATAATTTTGCATATTACAATTCTTGAGTATTGGTCTTTATAATGTGCAAGACTGTATTAGTCCATTATTGCATTGCCATAAATAACTACTTGGGACTGGGTAATTTATAAAGAAAAGAGGTTTAGTTGGCTTATGGTTCTGCATGGCATACAGGTTCTGGGGAGGCCTCAGGAAACTTACAATCATGGCAAAAGGTGAGGAGAAGTAGGCAACGTTTTACATGCCAGGGTAGGTTGAAGAGTGGGGAGGGTGCTACACACTTTTAAACAACCAGATCTCATGAGAACTCACTCACTATCATGAGAACAGCAACCAGGAAATATGCCCAGTTCATCTAATCACCTTGGTCTAATCACCTCCCACCAGCCCTGTCCTCCAACACTGGGGATTACATGAGATTTGGGTGGGGACACAAATCCAAACCATCATGAAGATTTTATGTAGGTTCTATTCCTAGGAATGGAACGACTGAAGGGTACATGTTGAAATTTATATAATAATGCCAAATTATTCTTCATAGTGTTTGTAACAATTTAACCTCCACTAACATATAAAAGTTTTTCTTGTTCCATTCTCTCACTAATTTATATTTTCACACTTGTCAACTTCTGTTACACTCCTTTAATGTAAAACTTGACAACACTATCGTTTTTATTTTAATGATTACTACAAAGATTGACAATTTTAAACAATAGTTTAAATCCAGGATTGGTTTTCTTGTATTTTCCATTTATTTTACTTACTTTTTTTCTCTTAATTTTTTAACTTAGATTTTTGCTGATTTTTATGGTGGGTTTATTACACTTTATTTATTTGTTTCTAGTTTAATTGGGTTTCTCTATAGACTGTCTTTTTTTTTTTTTTTTTTTGAGACGGAGTCTTGCTGTTTCACTCAGGCTGGAGAGCAGTGGCGCAATCTCGACTCACTGCAACCTCCGCCACCCGGGTTCACGCCATTCTCCTGCCTCAGCCTCCCAAGTGGCTGGGACTACAGGCACCCGCCACCACGCCCGGCTAATTTTTTGCATTTTTAGTAGAGACGGGGTTTCACCGTGTTAGCCAGGATGGTCTCGATCTCCTGACCTTGTGATCCTCCCGCCTTGGCCTCCCAAAGTGCTGGGATTACAGGCATGAGCCACCACGCCCGGTCCCCAGATTGTCTTTAAATGTAACATTGAAATGTATACTTTTCACTTTTATGTTTGTATCTGTTGCCAAAAAAAGTCTTCATTTTAATGCAGTCTGATTTTCAGTCTTTTCTAATATTATAGTCATATTTTTCTTTAGTTCCTTTCCTTTTTTCATTTATGTCTGCTTTTTAAAATATATCTAGAATTAAATAATGTAAATGATGTAATGAGTACCAAGTCTACATTTTTCTACAAATTAACCATTGAGCTAGTCACTTTTATTGATCTAATTTTTCTATTCTTAGTAATCTTCAATATAATTTCTGCAACATACCATACCAACTTTCCGTAGTTGTGTACTGTTTTAATTTCTTTTTTCTTTTTTTTTTCTAATTTACACAATCTTCTTTACTAGAGCTTTGTAACAAATACTGATACCCAATCATACAAGTACCCTAACATATTTCTTCTTATAAGAATTATTTTGAAATTCCTCTGGAGCTCTGTGTTTTTTTATGTAGCAGCATCTTATTAAGTTCCTTGGAAAATCACTTTGCAATTTTGGTTGGAATGATATTTTGAACATATTTGTATCATTTCAATTATTAGAATCTTCTGCTTTTACTAGATTTATTTCTAAAAACCACATATATTTTGGTGTCACTGAAACTCATGTTTCTTATTAACTTTTCTTTTGCTGATTGGGCATAAAATAAAATTAATTTTTGTTTATTGATACTTTATCCAGCAACTTTGTTAAACTTTTCTAGTATCCATAATAAGGTATCTATAAATTATTTTCTATTTTTTTGTGTGGCAATTTGTATACTATGTAGTAATGACAGGTAGATTTATGGACTGAATATTTGTGATTTACCTATCACCCCCGAATTCATATGTTGAAGCGCTAACCCCCAGAGTATGGCTGTATTAGAAAATGAAAGTAAGAAACTAATTAAGGCTAAATTCAATCATAAAGGTTGGCCCCTGATCTGATAGGATTCATATCCTTATAAGAAAAGACATCAGAGAATTGCTCTTAGTTTCAGGCTCCCTCTTTCTCTCTCTCTCTCTCTCTCTCTATATATATATATATATATGCATATATATATATATGCAAGCACAGAGGGAAAGCCATGTGAGGACATGGCAAGAAAGCAACCACCTGCAAGCCACGAGAATCTTCCCGAGAAACCTACCCTGCCATACTTTAACCTAGGACTTTTGGTATCCATCACTGTAAGAAAATAAATTGCTATCGTTTAAAGCACCGAGCCTATTATATTTTGTTATGGCAACCTTATCAGACTAATGTAGGTATATTTTTTACCTTCTAATACTTATTTAATCATAATTGTTTTGTCTTTAGTCAGAACTAACTGCACAAAACTAAATGGAGTCTTACAGTTGGCCATTATTTTCTGTTAACAGGGCTCTTACAATGTTTTTCTCATTCTGCATATCAAAACCTGGGGGTAAAATTAGTCTGTTAATGCTAGAACAAACTTCTCTGAGTTAATATTAACCAAAACCTTGTATATTGTTAAAATCTCTATATTTTAATTACTGTTTAAAATGGTTTGCATATTTATTCCCTCCAAATCTCTTGTTGAAAAGTGATTCCCAATGTTGGAGCTGGGGCCTGGTGGGAGGTGATGGAATCATGGAAGGTGAGTCCATCATGATTGGATTAGCACCAATCCCTTGGCGATAAGTGAGTTCTCACTCGGTATGCATTAGATTTGGTTGTTTCAGAGTCTGGGAACTCTCTGCTCCCTCTCTTGCTCTGTGTCTCACTATATAGCATGCTGGTTGCCCTTAGCCTTCCACCATGATTGTAAGCTTCTTGGGGCCCTTGCCAGAGGCAAATATTGGCACCACACTTTCTGTACAGCCTGAAGAACTGTGAGCCAAAATAAACCTTTTTTCCTTAATTACCCAGTTTCAGGTATTTCTCTATAGCGATGCAAGAGCAGATTAACATAACATCTTTATTTTTATTTGCTTTACCTATCAATATTAAAAATAAGTGTATGGAAATTTTCTGATATCATGTAGCATTGTCAGATATGCCCTGTCATTTTATTCATTGTTGCTTTACATATTTTGAGGTTATTTTATTATATGCCTACAACTTGTTTATATATTTTTGTATTGTTCTGGTGCATTTTGTAAGGACAAACAATTATAAAATTAAAAAAAGGATATTTAGTTCTCTTTGTTGAAAATTGAAAAAAAAAGATTTTCCTTGTAAATCCTGGATATTAGACCATATTTACAAAAAAAAATCCAAAAAAAACAAAAAACAGAAAACCCCATCAAAAAGTGAACAAAGAATATGAACAGACACTTCTCAAAAGAAGACATTTACACAGCCAATAAACATATGAAAAAAAGCTCAACATTACTGATTATCAGAGAAATGCAAATCAAAACCACAATGAGATACCATCTCACACCAGTCAGAATGGTGATTATTAAAAAGTCTGGAAACAATAAATACCAGAGAGGCTGTGGAGAAATAGGAACACTTTTACACTGTTGGTAGGAATATAAATTAATTCAACCATTGTGGAAGAGAGTATGGCAATTCCTCAAGGATCTGGAACCACAAATACCATTTGACCCAGCAATCCCATGACTGGATATATACCCAAAGGAATAGAATTCATTCTACTATAAAGACACATGCACATATATGTTTCTTACAGCACTATGTACAATAGCAAAGACATGGAACCAACCAAAATGCCCACCAATGATAGACTGGATAAAGAAAATGTGGTACATATTCACCGTGGAATACTATGTAGCCATGAAAAGAAATGAGATCATGTGCTTTGCAGGGACATGGATGAAGCTGGAAGCCATCGTCCTCAGTAAACTAACACAGGAACAGAAAACCAAACAGTGCATGTTCTCACTCATAAGTGGGAGGTGAACATTGAGAATACATGGACACAGAGAGGGAAACAGCACACACAAGGGCCTGTTTGTGGGGTGGGAGTGAGGCGAGGGAACTTAAAGGGCAGGTCAATAGGTGCAGCAAACCACCATGGCACACATATACCTATGTAACACACCTGCTGGTTCTGCACATGTATCCCATTTTTCTTTTTCTTAGAATAAATTTTTTAAAAAAGATTTTCCTTCCTTCTTTAGAATACTTTTGTCATTTTACAATTACAAATTTAGAAAACTTGTAATTCTACTACTTTCTCTTCTCCTTTAAATGTATATAATCCCTTAGAAAACAAAGACTTTGTTAGCTTTATTACCCAGAAATGCCTTTCTCAAGGACATGGAAGCCATGTTTTTGAAATGCATACATCCAGGAAAATAAATAACACCCCTAACTCCCATTCTGTGAGAGGGTGGGAGCCTAACTGTTGTGAATGCCTTGCTCTAAGTCACAAAACTACCTCTTGGCATAAAGACATGACGACTTTGTTTTTCCTTTGAATCAGGCCAATTAGATAACACAGATGGTCACCCAATTATCAGGTAATGTTGGACTGAATGAAGTGTAACAAATGGTGCTGTCAAGTCCTCTTACTAGAGAATTAGTCATAGTTTATCTTGACCATATGGATGCAATGTATCTACTTGGCTATATAAAAAAGAGATTTCATTCTGTCTTTGTGATATCTTAGTGGATTGTCTCTGGTGGGCATCAGCGTATGGTTTAATGCTTATTCAATAATAAATGTATTTTCTTTCTTTACTACCTTTGTAGAGAAGATTTCTGGAGTGAAACAAAATTATTTTTAAAATTATATTTCCCCAACAGTTTATTTTATAATATTATATAGTGACATATTTTATAATTATGCATTCTCATTTTCTCACCCACTGTTTTATATTTTTATAGCTACCCCATCTTGCTTTAGATTATTGGTTTGTTGCTATGACTTTTTTCCATTCTTTTATTTTCAGTCTTACTCATAGATGTGTCCGTTTACAGCTGGATCTTTAATCCAATCTGAAAAAATCTTTGCTTGAACTGACAGTTTAATCAAATTACATTTATTTTGACAGCTGTGATTTTAATTTATTTTTATTACATCTAATTTTGTTCTTTCTATTTGTCTCATTTTTATTATTTTTTAAAGTTTATTTTTAATTATTTTAGAGACGGAGTCTCGCTCTGTCACCTAGCCTGGAGACCAGTGGTGCAATCATGGCACACTGGAGCCTCAAGCTCCTGGGCTCAAGAGATCCTCTGACCTCAGCCTCTTGAGTTGCTGGGACTACAGGCATGTGTCACAATGCCTGGCTATTTTTTTTTTCTATAGATGGAGACTCCCCATCTTGCCCAGGCTAATATTAAACTCCTGGGCTCAAGTGATCCTCATACGCTTGACCTCCCAAAGTGCTGGGGTTACAGACATGAGCCACTGCCCCCAGCATATATATGCTTTTAAAAATGTTTTTCTTTTGATTGATACTTTATCTTTTATTTTTTCTATAGCTTCTAAATTCCCCATTTTCTTCTTCTAGTTTTTTCTTTTAATAATTACCCTTAATATTCTACTATTATGACTTTAGAGTTTAATATTAATTTACTCCTTTACTTTACTAATGGAAATATTTTAGGGGATGTAACAAAAATCGGTCTCTTGCTGACTTACTAATACTTTTTCCAATGCTTTAGTTCTAAAATTTTTTATTCCTTCAAAATATGCATTATTTACAGTATGTTATTATTATCATCATTTCAAAAACTTTATATGGATAATTTTTATATTACATTTTTTCCTTTTTGTCAATGTTATATCTTCACCATTCTTTTGCATTTCAATTTTTTTCTGTGGTATTGTTCTTCTTTATAAATTGACATTCTGTTGCTGATAAAAATGCTTTTGTTTTTATGAAAATATCTCCATATTTTCACTGTTCTCAAAAGATTTAGATATGGTAGAAAAAAGAAATAATGAAGAAGATTAAAATGTTAAAATATTCAGCTGAACTCGCCTGAATAAAGTGGAAGGGCCCCTGTGGGCAAAAATCCATATCTATCTTGATCACTGAGGAACCCCAATTGCTTAAAGAGTGCCTGAACATACTATGTCATCAATAACTATTGAACGATGTAATTTGTACCACACAGAATTTCGATTTTGAATCTTTCTTTTCACCACAGGAAAAGAAGGAAACATGGATACTGTCATTGAAAAGGTGAAGTCATGAATGTCTAGAAACATGCAAAAATCTGAGGAAATGAGTATTTGGGGAAAAATGAAGCAACAATTATTGTTCCTTCCTAAGGTTTGTGAGCATTGTCTCTATAAAAGTAAATATTACTTCAGTTCAGATATCAATGGAAAGTAAACCTCTAACTGAAAAAAAATGGGTTTGTGCAAAAACATCTTTCTTAAAACAAGTTTTTACTTAAGCTCATTTAATAAGTTGAAGAAATTTCAGAGCAACAAGCTTTAACAGCAGCCAATGATACACAGGACTGAAATGCCTCAGGGTCATGTCGGGTATGTGACTGACACTATAGAGAATGCAAGTTTGCTTTGAGGATAGTCTGCTGCCACTGCATGGTGTATTGTTACAAGAGAGAAACAAAGTTTTAGCCAGATAGCTTGCATAATTAGTTCAGAACTTGATAGCATACAAAATTATGAAATTTAAAATATATTGGATCAGGAAGTAAACTGCTTTCAGGCTTGATGACTTACATCCATCATGATAAACTTCTAAATATAGCAAGTAGACAAGGAAATATAAATTCCACTTAGAATATATGATGGTAGATAGTACTCCTTCTCCTCTTCACGACAATCACTTAACTGATGGAAGATTACTCCTTGTTCAGTTGAAGATGCAAATGAATTATATCCATTGTAATAATGGTTAATTTATGTGTCTATTTGGCTTGGCCACAGTGCTTGGATATGGGGGTCAAACATTATTCTGGAAGTTTCTGTGAGGGTATTTGTGGACGATATTAGCATTTAAATCTGTAGAATGACCTTTTGAAAGCTCAGTGCCAGCTAGATGGCACTACTTTGCAGAGTGGGCAAGGTTACCTAAGAGGCTGTATACACTGTGAGTCAGCATCTAATACATTGTGTTGTTTCTCTCACAGTGATGCAGGATTTTTTGCTCCTTTGTTCAGATAAAATCCAGGTTTTTGTCACACAACCAGGAAAATTTAGGCATGTGAACACATTGAAAGGTGAGGAGAACGAAATTCATTAAAAGAAAGCTCTTAGAGAAAAAAAAAAAAAAGAGGGAGTCCTGCCAACAGGCTCCCACTCACAGATTGAATACCAGGCCACCTTGTGCAGGGAGGAGGAGCTGCAGAGGCCAGGCTCCTCCTTCCTGCACAAGGCATGAATTCCCAGTGGCTCCACCCCACTTTCCCATTGTGCAGGCGGGCCCCCGAGTCTGTTTTGGGCACACCCAGACAAGCCCCTGAGCCAGCTGCCTCATCTGCACAATAGCATCTGACACAAACACTTGTGGGGTGGGTTGGAGATTCTCCGGGGATCCTCTCTTAAATACCTCCTACATCTATCAATAGGATTCACAGGTCCAGAAACAAAAGCATGAAAATGGAAGTGAGAGCACTCACCATACCTGTAGTGTGAAAGCTTTTGCTTCTTGCCTTCATAACTTTATTCTCTTGTTGACTAGAAATCTCAGCTCCTAAGAGAAGAATGTTTCTACCAGGAGACACAATGATTCCATTAGACTGGAATATAAGACTAACATGTAGCAACTTTGGACTCTTCAGGTTTCTGGAATCAACAGGCAAAGAAGACAGTTACTGTGCTGAAGAGAGTAACTGATATAGATTACCCAAGGGAAACTGGACTACTATGCTACAATGGAGATCAAGAAGAGTATGCTAGGAATACAAGAGATTCCTTAGGAAGTCCCTCAGTATGACCATGTCCTGTAATTATAGTGAATGGAACACTATAACAACCCAATTCAGGTAGAGTCCTACTCATGCTCCAGACTAGGTTACCCCACAAGGTAAAGAAACACAAGCAGCTGAGGTGCTTGCTGAAGGCACAGGGATTATAGAATGGGTAGTGGAAGACAGTAGTTATAAACACCAGCGATGGCATGTGACCAGCTATAAAAACAGGACTGTAATTGTCATGACCATTTCTACCTGATATGCTCTAGCTTTGTCCCCACTCAAATCTCATCTTCAATTGTAATCCTGAGGTGTTAAGGGAAGAACCTGGTGGGAAGTGATTGGTTTATGGGAACTTTTTCCCCATGCTGTTCTCTTGATAGTGAGTGAATTCTCATAAGATCTGATGGTTTTATAAATGATAGTTTTTCCTGGGCTCTCATACATTTCTGTCTCCTGCTTCCATGTGAAGAAGGTTCTTGCTTCCCCTTCACCTTCTGCCATGACTGTAAGTTTCCTGAGGCCTCCCCAGTCATGTGGAACTGTGAGTCAATTAAACATCTTCGCTTTATAAGTAACCCAGTCTCGGGTATATCTTTATAGCAGTGTGAAAATGGAGTAATACACTACTTTATTGTATTATGATTATGTGTTTTTATAATATATTTATTTTCTTCTATTTATTATCTATTTACCATGTAGCATTAGTTATGTTAATTTTATATCAGTATTTAAATATTGTTAACTTTATAACATAGTATTTAAGTTCTAGGACATCAAGAAGAGTAGAGCTTACCCAGAGACTTTTTATCTTCTTCTGGGGAAAGGGTTAGTGCATTTTTGGTTGGACTCAAGACAGCCGTATCATGTTAGGTGAAAGTATGACCTTGTTATTTATTGTATTTACTTCAATGTGTATTGGTGTCAAGTTGGCAAGGGGTGAAGTTGAGATACTTAATTTTAGGGATCAGCTTAACTGGGCCACAGTGCTTAGATATGTTTCCATGAATTATTCTGGATGTTGCTGTGAGGGTATTTTTGGATAGGACTAAAATTTACATTGGCGGACTTGGAGTAGAGTAGATTGTACTTAATATGGGTGGACCTCGTCCAATCAGATGAAGGCCTGTTAGAACAACAACAATGACAAAATGACTACCCTGAGCAAGATGGAATTCTGCCTGCACATGACTTTTAGACTTGAACTGCAGCATAGGTTTTCCTCTGGATCTTCACCTGAATGGGCTTCAGCCTTAAAGTGCAGCATCAGACCTGCCCTGATCTCCAGTCAGCTGACCCACTTTGCAGATTTTGAACTTGTCAACCTTCACAATAGCACGCCCCCAATGTTTTTCTATACATACATACATACATCTTATTGGTTCTCCTCCTCTGCAGAAGCCTGTCTAATACACCCATTGTGTTAGAACACAGTTGAGTTTGCTTCGGCCAAATGAATCCTTAACTACAGCACATAAGTAAATGAGAATCTCTAGCTGAGATTAAAAGAATAAGAAATTAGAAAAACAAAAATTTTGGAATAAACTCTGTAGATTTAATATATAGAGAAAATAATCCTTATTTGTATATTGTATTCCTATTTGGGAATTTGTTAATGTGAGATTATAAATATAACTTCTATATTAATATGATTAATATTTTATTATTGGGAATTCTATAATGTCATTTATACAAGTTATATAACCTCCCAAGAGGAATAATAGGTGGCATTCTGAAGATCATTACAAATGATAAATGAAATAGGGAGTAAATTTTTAGCTTATAGTAGAGTAAGGACTTCTCAGGCCCTACTTTAATAGTTCATAAGTAGTTCATAAGTCCTCTTATGAAATTACTTTAAGGCTTATGGAGGGAAAAGCAGAATTGTCCTCCAACACTGGCCAAAGGGAGCGCTTTGTTTGTAATTGGTGGTGGGCTTTTGATGGTAAATTCAGGACAGTAATTCTCCAATAAGTATTAAAATGCCTATAGGGTTTTGTTTTTGTTTTTGTTTTTGTTGAGACAGAGTCTCACTCTGTTGCCCAGGCTAGAGTGCAATGGTGCCATCTTGGCTTACTTCAACCTCTGCCTCCCAGGTTCAAGCAATTCTCATGCCTCTGCCTCCTGAGCAGCTGGGATTACAGGCACTTGCCACCACACCCTGCTAATTTTTTGTATTTTTAGCAGAGATGGGGGCTTCACCATGTTGGCCAGGCTGGCCTCGAACTCCTGGCCTCAAGTGATCTGCCCACCTTGGCCTCCCAAAGTGCTGGGGTTACAAGCTTGTAACCACACCTGGCCTTAAAATGGCTGTAGGTTTTTGATATAAATATTGGTGTAGGTTGAGTTTTCCTTAAACTCTAGTTTCCTGAAACATTTGTAATACTTTTCTCATATCTATTGGGATAATTACATAGTGTTCTTTTATTTGTTAATGTGATGACTCATATAAAATATTTCTTTTTAAGTTTCTTTTTAAATTTAAGTTAACCTTAAATACTTGAGATAATCCCAAATTATTTATGATTATATGTGTGTGTTTATATATATGTACACACACACACACATTCACACCTACATATATATGCATATATACACACACATATATACAGATGCTCCTCACTTATGATGGGTTTATATCCCAATGAACCCACCATAGGTTGAAAATATCATAAGTAAAAAATGAAATTAACACACTTAACTTATATTAAATATCATAGCTTAACCTATGTTAAACACGGTCAGCACACTTAAATTAGTGGAAGTTAGGCAAAATTATCTAACACAAAGCCTACTTTATAATAATGTATTTAATATCTAATGTAATTTATTGAATAGTGTATGTGGGGTCAATATTTTATTATATGCCTAAATCCCACAGTATTATTTGCAGCGAACTACCCATGGTTACTTCTAATGACCGATATTTCTCATCATTCTAGGTTTGCAATTTTAAATATTTTATATATTGATACAGTCAGAGACATTATTTCATATAGAAATGCAAAAAAACAATTATTTAAAATATTTAGTGGAAATACAACTAAACCTAGAATTGTTTATGAGTTCTAGTACTTCTTTTATATTAATTAGTTGTGTATCCTTAGCTATACCACTAGCTGCATTACGTTTTCAATCAAAAAATAAAATGATTTGGTAGTACGATATGTAGCATCCTGCATTAATGATATTATAATATATACCAAAACATTAATTCATTTTTATTGGATGCTGCCTCAGTTTATAAGACTTGATTTGCCACTGTTATAAGACTAGCTACTTTTTTCCTTAAAACAATTCATATTATTATTAATAACTGTGGCATATTTATAAACCAGCCACTCTTCTGATTGCAGGAAGAGTCTGAGTTTAGACATAAATTAATAAGGAAGAGAAAGAGAGATTTAAAAAATAGGCATGCAAAAATATGACACTAATAGCTTAGAGCCTGGATCAGAGTAACAATTCAATAAACGCGGCCTTTATTATCGTAACCATTATCAATTGCAATTGTTTTTGAATACAGAAAAGAATCATACCAAAAGGAGAAAATTAGACACCCTATGGCTATGTTGATTAAAAAATTCCAACTATTCAAGAGCTAAATTAAAGTCGTACCTTTCTTTCCTGCTTTGTAATTCATCATAATGAATGTAGGAGAAAACTGTTAAAATTAAAAAACTGACTTGATTATACTGCCACTAATTACTGTCCCATATATCGAAATAGACCAAAGTTGAAATTCTTTCTACTCTGCAAAACAAAAGATGCTATAAGTATGCATGGTATTATGCAAAGTATAATCTAATGCTGTAATTTGATTTGGAATTCATTTTATTTCAGGTGTGCTCAATCTTTAGTGACTCTAAAAATAATTGAGGACTACTTATACTGCATTCAATTTCTTATGTTCTTGTAATTAAGTGTTTTCATTAGTTTATTTCTTGGTCTATGTTATTGTTTAAATGTATGCATTGCTCCAAAATTTGTATGTTGGAACTTAACCCCCATGATGATAGTATTAAGAGGTAGGACATTTAGAAGGTTATTAGGCTATGAGAGCTTTGCTCTCATGAATGGGATTAGTGTTCATAAGAAAGGGCATGACAAACAGAGTTAATCCCTTTCACGCTTCAGCCACTTGAGGGCACAGCATTTCTCCACTCCAGTGGGCCAACATTTCAACACAGGGACAAGGTACCATCTTAGAAGCGGAAAGCAAACATCCACCAGACATCTAATTTGCTGGCAACCTTGAACTCCTAGCCTCCAGAACTGTGATAAATTTCTATTATTTATGAATTATTTTGTTACAGCAGCAGAAACATACTAAGATTGAAATTTGTAGCAAGAAGTAGAATGCTGCTATAACAAATACCTAAAACTGTGGAATCAGCTTTAGAACTAGGTAATAGGTAGAGTCTGAACCATAAAGGGCTATTATGGTAAGAGCTCAGAAAGAGAGAAGAGCTGTAGAGAGAGACTAAATCTTTCTAAAAATTATCTAAGTGGTCATGAACAGAATATTCTTAGAAATATGGATGGTAAAGGCAATTCTCATGAGGTCTTAGATAAAAACAAGGAACAAGGTTTTGGAAACGGAAGGAAATGTCATCCTTGTTATAAAATAGCAAATAACTTGGTCTAATTGTGTCTAATAATGTTCTACTGCCTTGTGGAAGGCAGAATTTGTGAGGAATGAACTAGGATATTTGACAGAAGAAATCTCTTAGCAAAGTGTTCAGGGTGCTTCATGGCTTATCTTGACAGCTTATTAGTAAATAAAAAAAAGAGAAATGACTTAAAGATAGAATTTATAATCAAAAGGGAAACAGAACTTAAAGATTTGGAAAAATCTCAGCCTGGCGAGATTGTAATGAATAAAAAAAAAGTGGGTTCTGATTCACAATGGCCAACTAGAGGCAGACAGGAAGAACATCTTCCACAGAGAGGCTGGGATACTGGGAAGACTGGTACACTCTGAACAGATCTTCTGAAGAAAGGAATTAAGAGTGGATTAAATAGGCACTGGGCTGAAGGTAGAGGAAGCAGAGAACTCTGCATTGGGTGGCTGAGCACGGAGACTTGTTCCTGGCCTCCAGTGACTCCTGGGGAAGAGGTGAATTGAACAGGTGAGGAGTTGCCTCCAGAATCTAGCAGCAGAAAACCCCACAACTGCCACAGACACTTAAGCTGGCAGGGAGAGCTGCTTAGATAGGTGGCAGGAGCAAGATTCCAGCTTGTGCACAGCCTAGAGAGTCTGGCATGGAAACAGTTGCAGTGCAGCATGGTCAGAGTTGCTCATCCTCCAACGCTCTCCATGTTCCTCTAGGAGACTTTAGCCTTAAGGTGACCGTTGAACCTAGAGAGAGCAGGGTGGTGTTCATGAGGAAGACACCAAAAGCAAAAGTTGACAGTTGAGACCTAGTTAAATTAAAGGGCTACTTCACCGCAAATGAAAATATCAACTGAGTAAACAACCTACAGAATTGGAGAAAATATTTAAAAATATGCATCTGACAAAATTCTAATATATAGAATCTATAAGGAACTTAAAAGCAAAAATCAAGCAACCCCATTAAAAAGTGGGCAAAGTATACAAACATACACTTTTCAAAAGAAGACATACACTTGGCCAATAAGCATATGAAAAATGCTCAACTTTACTAATCATAACAGAAATGCAAATCACAACCACAATGAGATACCATCTTACACGAGTCAGAATGGCTATTACTAAAAAGTCAAAAAATAACAAATGCTGGCAAGGTTGTGGAGAAAATGAAATTCTTATACACTGCTGGTAGGAAAGTAAATTAGTTCAGCCATTATGGAAAGCATTTTAGCAATTTCTCAAAGAACTTAAGACAGAAGTACCATTCAACCTAGAAATACCATTATTGGGCATATACCCAAAGTAATATAAATTTTTCTACCATAAAGACACATGCATGTGTATTTTCACTATTCACAATAGCAGAGATATGGAATCAACCTAAATGCCCATCAACAGTAGACTAGATAAAGAAAATGTGGTACATATGCACAATGAAATACTACGCAGCCATAAAAACTATCATGTCCTTTACAGCAGCATGAATGGAGGTGGAGGTTATTATCCTATGCGAAGTAACACCGGAAGAGAAAAGCAAATACCACATACTATCACCTATAAGTGGGAGCTAAGCACTGAGTACACATAGATACAAAGTAAGGAACAATAGACCCTGGGGCCTACATGAGGTTGGAGTGTAGGGGGAGGGTGAGGATTGAAAAACTATATATCAGGTACTATGCTTATTACCTGTGTGATGAAATAACCTGTACACCAAAGTCCCATGACACAGAATTTATCTATGTAACAAACCTGTACATGTACCTATGAATTTAAAATAAAGGTTTTTATTTAAAAAAGGATAAAAATAAAATAAAAATAAAAAAGTATCTGCAGGAGAAAATACCACGGGTGTGAAGAAGCAAACATTTGATACCAAGATTAGCACAAATAGTAGAAAGTCAGATGGTATTCATCAGGACAATGGAAGGATCACTCTGAAGGCATTTCAGATCATCATGGCTCCTCCACCGATGTCTCTGTCAATGGATGAATGGCTAAAGAAAATATGCTATATTATATACAATGGAATACTACTCAGCCTCAAAAAGAAAAAAGAATTCTGTCACTTAGGACATCATGTGTTACTTCGCATAGGATAATAACCTCCAGCTCCATTCATGTTGCTGTAAAGGACAGGGAACAGGGGTTTCTAGGCAAAGGGTACAGTGTTTCAGCCAGAGAGGAGTAATGCATTTTGAGATCTATTGCAAAGCTGAGTGACTGAAGTCAATAATAATGTATTGTATATTTTAAAATAACTAGGAGAATTGATTTCACATAGATCATCTCAAAAAAAAGGGAAGAAAGTTGGTGATATGCTAATTAGCTTTAGTTATTTTAAATTGTATACATGTATCAAAACATCATATTGTACCCCATAAATGTAAAACAAGTATGATTCGTCAGTTAAACTAATATTAACTAAAAACATAATATGGTATAAGCATGAGGATCAATATATTGAAATAGACTATATACTCTCATGTTTAAGGCCAATTGACTTTTGGCAAGGATGTCAAGATAATTATGGTGAAAGCAGAGTCTTTTTAAAAAATGGTGCTGGAACAACTGACTATCCACATGGAAAAGAAGGAGTGTGGACCCAAACGTCTTTCCAAATACAACAATTAACTCAAAGTTCATCATAAGCCTAAACATAAGATCTAAAGAAGGAAGTATAAACATTCATTTTCATGACCTTAGATTAGGCAATGGTTTCTTAAGTATGACACCAAAGTACAAGTGAGGAAACAAAAACTAAACATATTGAGCTTCATCAAAATTTTAAAAATTTATATCAGAAGATACTATCCAAAGAAGGAAAGAGAATCTGAAGCTTGAGAAAATATTTGCAAATCATATATCTGATAAAGAACTAGTTTCCAGAATACCAAAGGGACCCTTACAGATCCGTACAGACAGATATTAGATTAGCAATAGGAAGCTGTTTTGGTGAGTGGGAAGCAGGAATGGTCAATGCCTACATAATGAGCCGTAGTTATTTCTTGGGATGATGAAGATTTTTAAAATTCGATTGTCATGTTTTTTATACAACTCTGTGAATAGATTTACAACTGCTGAAGTGTACATGTCAACTAGTTAATTCTTATGGAATCTAAAATTATGGAGGAAAGAGTTTGATCAGCAGGTCTGGTTTCCTCAAACCCGGCATTCTCCTAAGAAAAAGGTTCTCTGCATGACTGACTTCTGCTTGATCTACAGTCCTTGATTATTCTGCTTGATAAGAATGTTTTTCCATTTCTGAGTCTGTGGGCCACACTGTATCAACTTAATCAGATAATTTATGTTAACAATATGATTTATGGTGAGTGCCTGTTTGTTTTTCTTCTGTTTTTAGAGAGGGGGCACTGGAATCTGAGTAGCTGCGGTCAGTGACCCATTCACTTCATGCCTGCACTAATGACTCACAAAAATACCCAGGACCGCAAGACTCAAGTAAGCTCCCTAGGTGGCAGCACTACTAACATATTGCCGCACATTATTGCTGGGAAGCACATCTGTGCAACTCCATTGGGTGACATCTGAAAGTCTATACCTAGTTCTCTTAGATTTCTTCCCATGTGACTTTTCCTTTTGCTGATTTTAATCTGAACCCTTTTGCTGTAGTCAACCATAAAGGTCAGTATAAGAAGCTTTCTAAGTTACCTGAGTCCTTGTGATTCGGTGAGCCTGATGTTGACTTTGGAGACCCTAATACAGAAATATATCTATCTATATAAAGCTATAAGAATAAAAATTAAATTATAGCCAAGGAAAACAAAAAGTTAGGCCAAGATTTCAGCTTCTTACCTATTACAGGACGGACAGATTTTATAGTTTAAACCTCACCAATTAGAGAATGTTTCTAAATATCTCAGGCTTTCCAATGGTACACCAAATGGATACACTTGAAGAGCAAAAGTGAGGCATAGAAATAATAATTCACCTAATGACAAAAAAATCTAATATTCAAGGTTAAGAATTTACTCTAATTGTGAGAGCAAAACTCAAATTTACTCAACATTGACAAAGTTTGAAACCAATTATTTACTGCTGTTTGGCAAGTTAACATCACTTGATAGCGGGGAAATTCAAATTAAAGCCAAACCACACAATTTCACACTCAAAAGTGTGACTAAAGTTACTAAGACTGAAAAAAGAAAACCACCAAAATATTTGGAGAGAATGGGTAAATGTATTGTGGTATTTTGTATGTTAGAAAATATTCAGCAATTAAAAATAATTAGCTACTGATACAAGCAACAAATGACATGAGTCTCAAAAATACGATGTTAAGTGAAAGAAGCCAGACACAAAATAATACATATTGAGTGATTCCATTCATAGTCAGTTGAAAAACACGAACAAATCTAAAGTGGTAGAAATCAGAGGAGATGTGGTATGAGGACTGTTGACTGGAGTGTGGCATAAGAAGACTTTTAGAGGTGATCTTTTTTTTTTTTTTAATTAGAGTAGGTACTATGACCTAGTGAAGTTGGCACTTAAAATTAACCATCACGGCCGGGTGCGGTGGCTCACGCCTGTAATTCAAGCACTTTGGGAGGCCGAGGTGGGCAGATCATGAGGTCAGGAGTTCGAGATCCCGTCTCTACTAAAAATACAACAATTAGCTGGGCTTGGTGGTGGGCGCCTGTAATCCTAGCCACTCGGCAGGTTCAGGCAGGAGAATCGCTTGAAACCGGAAGGCAGAGGTTGCAGTGAGCCGAGATCACACCACTGCACTCCAGCCTGGGTAACAAGAGCAAAACTCCGTCTCAAAAAAAAAAAAAAAAATTAACCATCACATATACTGATGCAATTACTGCTCATAGTAGATACTGTAATAGAGGACTAAGGCCTTTTTATAGTGATACATGCACTATTAAAATGCATTTGCATGGAAGAATATATATATTTCTCTATATATAGATAATATATGTAATCTCTATATGTATACATACATAATATGTAATCTCTCTATATATGAATTTCATTTATATACTATATATAAACTATATATAGTATGTACATACTGTACTATATACTATATATAATATCTAATACAGTATATTTGGTTTATTTGTTCTCTCTCCCTCTCTCTCTCTCTCCCCTCTCTCTCCCTCAGTGTGTGTGTGTGTGTGTGTGTATTTTTGTTTATATATATATATATCTTTCTCTATATATTTATATCTTGAACTTTCTATATTTTATATATATATATGTGTGTGTGTGTGCGTGTGTATAAAGAGAGAGGGAGAACAAATGAAACAAACCAAATATTGTACTCCACTTCCATTGAGCAGAATTTTGTGTCCTTGATGACTCATAACCTGATTTTATTAATATTATACTCTAATTCCATTGTACTGAACATCCTGAAAAATAATCCCACTCATCCAACCACCTCCTCCATGTGTAGTTTCGGGCTATTCCAATCTCACATTAGACTATCTTATTTTTGAATATTCAGGTCTGCTTCTGCAGGGTCCAGGCAGGTTAAATAAATAACTGAAGCAACCTGTGTGATAAAGCACATGCCAATCTACAGGAGACTGGAACTGCACAATGCCAGTTAGCGCTGACAAGCACAATGTGAAATTAATGCAGCTAGAGCTACTGAGAAATTATAAATGTGGATTTTTATTTGCTGTCTTTTGAAATAAAAATGTTGGCTCAATTTTTTACATTTGGTAGATCAAACAAAATAAATGTGTGGGCCATATGTGATCTCTTGGCTGTCAATTTATGACAAATTTATGACTTTCATAAACAAATGACTTGTAAGTATCCCCAACCCAGTAGAATAAAGGAACATTCAGGATATCAAGGTTTCTTAATATATCTGTGGATGGAGAGATGATATGTTTCTTCTAGCTCTATTGTATGATGCTTAGAGATAATAAAGCAAGTAATTTGATTCTCTTTTTATAGATATTCTGCATAGGCTTAAAACTTAAAACTTTATTTACCTATCACAACATTTTTTTACAGTAACTTTTCACTACCTCCTTGCGGTGTAGACTTTAGTGTACTCTGGATTTTTAGTTCTAGATTAGAACTATGATGTATACAAACCATAGAGTTCTGTTTTTATATAACTTTATTTGGAAAGCCATACTTCCAGGCCAGTGTCTAGCATAAAGTCAGGTGTATTATGGGTTTTTAGCTACATATATATTCCACTCATTACTAGAATTGCTCTAGAGTGCAACATGCACACTCCGTAGCAAATTTTCTGGCCCCGGAAGGCATTCATCTAATGCAGATTCTCAGAAACCAGGATCATTTTTTTTTTGCTAGGTTATCTGGGTGTGGTAATACTTAAGGATGATTTTGTGTGTGTGTGTGTGTGTGTGTGTGTGTGTGTGTGTATAGCATTTGTCTCTCATGATAATCATGTTGACTCCATCTTCTACATAGAATGCTTCTTGACAAATACCTACTGTACATGACAGCACAAAATTAACACTGTCCGTTTTCCTCTATCCCCAGTCATGTTACACATTCATTGTATCTCATTAATAGATGCAGACAAATAAGGATTCACTGAGAGGAGAAAAGAAAAAACCTCTGGCTGCCTTAGGTTATAGTTGGCAAAGGTTGGAGCTGTGTTAGGAGAAGCCAATTTCATAGGGAAGAGGCAGAATGAATCAAGAAATTCTTTATATCTTCTTTACTGCCATTAATGTTTTTTCTTCCCCTCAGGGCAGATAGTGTATAAGCCATAAATGGGTTTCCCAACCAATGCAAAGCCTGCCATTGGTAGATTTCTTTCCTAAAATGTACCCCATTCTCTTGTCATTTATTTTAATGTTCATTTATCAGTTTAATCCAGGGAAATCAGTCATTGTAGAAAAGAAAAGTCAGCCAGAAACTTGGAGGTAATAATAATATATTGGTATTACAGAAGAAAGTATGACAGATACTACAATTGGCTTACTCAACATCATATGGCTTTTTTACCATGCCTTTAAAATAGAAACAAGAAAACTTTAAAAATCTTAAACTTTTTAAAAAACTGCTTTGAACCTGAGAGTGTCCATGGGACACATCTGACTCAAGAAAGGAAAGCAGAGGTCAACTGGGGCCAACTCCATGGCTTCTCCTTCTTCTTTCCTGGAATTCTGGTGATAAATAACAGTTTAATAGTCATTGTTAAGAAAAAAGTATCAAAAGGTAGAAGGAGACCAGCTCCTTCATGTCATTATTGAGGCAGAATTCCAGTCTTAGTGTATTCACTTATAGATTTATTTTTGCATGATATCAATAAATCTGTATTTGCTTAAGCTACTGTAATCAGGTCTCTTATAAAACAAACCCCCTACAAAGTATATAGTAAAAAGAGAGCTTTAAGGGCAGTATAATCTAGGTATCAAGAAAACAGGGTCTATTTTCTTTGGATTCTAAGGCTATGTCCAACATTAATATAAAAAATAAATTTAAACATGCAAAAAATTTGTTTAACAGAAAATATACTCAGTAAAATATGAAACCTATCATTATTATATTTTTATGATATATATTATGAAAAATACCAATCTTTTGAAAATGTCAGCTGGGTCTATTAGTGTCATTTACAAACTTCCAGATTATTCTACAATAACCTTTGTGTAACATTTCTACATTTGGCCTTATTGCATGTCATGGAGAGTTCTACTCAACCAATCTGTTAATAATCATTTATGATAACAAAGCAAGGTTGTCACTTCTGACTCTCAGTCCACTCATTGATGTATGTGCAATCCTTGATGAGCAAATCATCTGTTCTGACTACTTTTCTTGAAGTATTGATGACACTCATCACTAAGTATAACCCTGCACATTGTGGACACTCCCTTTTTAAATGTTCTGGGAAAGGTGGGGTTATAGACCCGAATTTAAAGAGCTTTTGCATTCTTGAATTGTGAGAACACCAGAAACTTCAGGCTCACCCTGGAGGATGAACCTCTTAGTAGGAAGGGCCTCTGTTCCACATGAACTTGCCATCAGTTCCTGAATGTCTTTTTCTCATTGGAAACCTCTTACTCCATGCTCACATCCCTCTATTCATAGTGCACAAATAAGCATGCATAAAAACCATCACTAGAACTGAAAAGGACCTTTTTGAAGAAAAAGATTTACTAAAAGATATAACAATATCCATTATCCAGTGAATGTTGTAAAGCATCTAAAAAGCTGATTTAAAAAAGTACAGCTTATGCATGACAGTAAACATATGTTATCTCACGTATTTTAAGAGACCAAGTTACCGAAAAATTTACTAGCTGGGGTCCTTCATTTAATACCCCTCATCCTATCTTTGATATCCATTATTTTTGAAGAGCTTAGACATTTAAAGTAGAAATGCTTAGACATTTAAAACATTTTATTCCAGCCTCTGTAGGACACATTTATTCCATTCTAGTTCCTTGTAATAAAAATAATGCTTTAGTCAGTAGAAGGATCATATGACCTCAACACATTGATAAGATTCTGCTTTCTATACAAAAAACTAAAACAAACAAAAGCCCTCAAGTATTTTCCATTATAGAATGAAGTTTTAATAACTTAGATTACTAAAACAAACATTCAAATGTTTTTTTAAAAAGAGAAATAAAACATATTAAGCGAGGTTATATCAATGAAGGCCAGAGAGGGAAGAAAACTTCTAGAAAGTATTTCAACATTTTTATGGCACTCACTCATTAATTTAGAATAAAACAAAATCTTACTATATGAGCAAAAATATTAGATACTATACCTTGTGCTTCAGAGAAATAAAAATGGGTAAATCACTAATTATAACTATTCTAGCAGTTCCCAACCTATCAGAAAGAACACAGATTTGGAAAAATGTGATATAATATGTCTGGTGTATTTTACAAGTGAATATATGGTACAGTAATAGCACGAGAGAGATGGTTACTTCTCTGAGGATGGTGGAGGGGATCCATTGGCTACATAAAAGATTTGATATTGACATGAGTCTTAAAAATTGAGCAAGAATGCATTGTGTTATAAAGAGTAGTATTCCAAGCAGAAAAGGCAGCAACCCCAAGCTCTCCTTCCCAGAGGTAAACAGATCATAAGAACTGGTTAAAAAGGTAATTATATCATTTTAAATTAATGGTTTAGCCGGATATGTTACTTTCATCTGAAAACAAAATCTAAGGTTCAGTCAAGAATTAACTTTGTTGAAAAAACTTTCTGTCCTTCAGATGTGTATTAACACTCATTTTTTTTCCATTGTAATGGATCAAGTAATCAAAAGAACACAATACTCCAAAAGTTGATGCAAGAGGTAGCATAATTGCTGCCTGCACAGAAATATCACTTGTGTTGCTTAATCAAATACACTGCAAATTAATGAGAACATCTCGATTTTCTATTCCCGGGGTTTAGAACAGCAATGGCCACACAGTAGTTGACCAATAAATACATATTGAATGAAAAAATGAACAAACAAGATGAGCAATTTTCAGTCTTAGTCCCAGTGGTAATTCACCTAGTGCTGTTACAGCTTAATTCCAATTGTTCTTAAATGGATCTTTAGAATATATTTGCCAGCAATTGTGAAATAGAATAGTTATTCTTTATTAAGGTAGCAAATGAATAAACCTGGGTAAATAGCAACCCAAGTAGTAAGGGGAATGTCATACAAAGGCTTCTGGAGGAACTAGTTATAAATGATTAACAGCACATGTATGAAAAACAACCTAGAAATTATTAGTAAAAATTCAAGAAGTTCAGAATGTATTTAATACAAAATATGTATATGTAGTGATATGAAATATAAAGGGTCAATATTAAAGTAATATTTAGGTATAATGTAAAATTTTCCTCAAAGATACTAATATCTTCATTAAAAACTAAAATAAAAGCTGATCTAGAGGAAAATTTGCTGCTCTGTAATAGTCTAAATAGTTGTGTAGCAGAATGTGTCCATGTGACTAGTCATCCATAAAAGCCTTGGACCTTAGCCAAGCACCATGGCTCAAGCTTGCAATCCCAGCACTTTGGGAGGCTGAGAGGGGCAGATCACTTGAGGTTTAGGAGTTCGAGACCAACCTGGCCAAAATGGTGAAGCCCCATTGCTACTAAAAATACAAAAATTAGCCAGGTGTTGTGGAGGTGGCCTGTAATCCCAGCTACTCTGGAGGCTGAGGCAGTAGAATTATTTGAATCCGGGAGGTGGAGGTTGCAGTTAGCCAAGATCACACCACTGCACTCCACCCTGTGACAGAGATAGATTCTGTCAAAAAAAAAAAACAACCTTGAACCCTGAGAATCAAATGAACTTTCCTGGGCCAGTGTATTTTGCATGTGTTCCTGGAGTTTGCTGCTAGAGAGAACAATGTGTTCTGTGAGATTTGGTAGGGGAATGACTTAGAAACTTGATATTGACATGAGTCTTAAAAATTGAGCAAGAATGCGTTGTGTTATAAAGAGTAGTATTCCAAGCAGAAAAGGCAGCACCCCATGCTCTCCTTCCCAGAGGTAAACAGATCATAAGAACTGGTTAAAAAGGTAATTTTATCATTTTAAATTAATAGTTTAGCTGGATATGTTACTTTCATCTGAAAACTGCTGAAAGATGCTATGGGAGAGATGTTGAGTCTGTAAAATAGGGATTTGGAGTAAAACAACATGAGAAAAAAAAGATGGATCTACATAAGTGTTACAGAAGAGAACACAGACCTACTAACATGTTATTCAGAATTACCAAATAGAAAGCCATCAACTATAATTGAGAATAAGCATAAAGAATAAAAATGATCAAAGTTCAAGAAGTTGAGTTAATAGTATTTCAATCTGAAGGTGGATATTTAAAAATGGGTAAATTTAAAATAATTAAAACTTTAAAGAATGAGAAATATAAAAATGTAATATGAAAAAGTATAAGCAGATGTGAAAAAGAACCAAAATTATATTTCTATAGGAGAGAAGTGTAGACTTTCTAATGTAAAGCCCACTGAGGTAGATTAATTTAAAAATATGTACGGAGGAAGAGAGGATTGGTGAACTAAGAGTATTATAAAATGTAACAAGTGAAATAGAAAAACATGATGATAATTAAGAGAAATTAAGAGACCAGGAAAATAGGATAAATGTGTCCATATGTGTGTAAAAAAAGAGTTACAAAAAATTATTGGGAAGATGGAGCAAATGTAATATTTCAAACAAGGTTTTCATGAGAATTTTCCAGAAGTTCATAAAGGATATTAAAGCAGAGTGAAAAGCAAGGAATAAAATATAAATTAACAATATATTAGAATTTAAAGCAAGGAACAATAGTATTGTCACTGAGATCAATACTGGAAATATAGCAATGAATATACATTAATGTGTAAAGATAGGTGAAATGTCTGAGATTTTACTCAAGTTGACAAATCAGCATTCTAGTTTCTTGAGTAGTGGCAGAAGACACATGATTCCTGTGTCAGAGAAAAAGGACCTTATTTCCCACGGCAATAGCAGTAGCCAGAGTATCAGAGTATCATCATTGGTGTAAGTTCCTCAAGCTTGAATTCACATAGGGTGATGTGAAGAAGGCCAAGTGACAACTTACCGAGGGTTGTGTTACAGGAGAGGAACACTTTACAGTGGAAATCAAGAGCTAAGGAAGCCAAGATCAAAAAGCTGCAGTTAACTGCATTGCCCTCAATGCAACTGCCTCTTGGCATCCAGAAAGCTGCATAGTATTACAATGCTAAGTAAAATTTTTTTCATTTTGTGCATTTTTGATCAGAACTGAAACAAAAAGATGGATTATCTATACCTCTACATTACAAATTTCTTACAATTGCATCTATAGATTTTTCATGGAAATGAACATTTTTATTTTAAAATTTACATGAAAAAGCAAAATGGTACAATTTGCTAAGACAATACTGAGGGAAAAATGTTGAAGGTGAGATGATATCCTCTACTAAATGTCAAGATTTATCATATAATTACATGAATTAAGTTAGCAATTAAAGTAGGGGTGATATTAGAGCAGAATAGAGAGCCCAGAAATATTCTCATAGCTTTCTGGAGATTGATATATGGCAAAGTTAGAACTGTAAGCCAGTAGAGTCATTTCATTCTCCTGTCTCAGACAGAGGTTTATTTTGCCTTTACCCAACATCTCTTTGCATAATAAAGGAAACAATAATAACAACAAATATTTACTGAGCACTTTTCGTAAGCCAAAAGCTTATCATTTATGTGCTAAGTGCTTTTCATGAATTATTTCATGGAACCATCACCACTTTGTGAAGTAGGAAGTATTAGTTACACGTTACAAATGAAGAAACTGAGACATTGGGGAGAATATTGAATATTTTAACTACATAAAAATTTAAAATTTCTGTTCATAATATGGCCCAATAAAAGTGAAAAGAATAATGGCCTAAACTCTGCAGAGATATTTGAAATGCATATTTTTCCACTTTATTTTTACTTTTTCATTAAATATTATATGTACATTTTATACACTAGGATTTGTCTCTTGACTGGATCTTATCTACTGCCTTTTTCCGTTTTTCATTTTTTTAGATTATCACATAATACTTGCATATATTTATTGTGTACAACATGATGCTTTGAAACATGTATGTATTCTGGAATGGCTAAATTGAACTACTTAACATATGCATTACTTTATATGCTTATCCTTTGAGGGAGAATGAAAACAATTAAAATCTACCCTCTTAACAAATTTCAATAATATAATACATTGTTATTAATTATAATTATAAAATAGATCTTTTGAAGTTATTATTCCTAGCTAACAAATTTTGTGTTCTTTTACCAAAACCTCCACAAAGCCCTAACCCCTAGTTCCTAGTAATTACCATTCTGCTCTCTGTTGAGTTCAACTTTTTCAGACATTACATATAAATAAGATCATGCACTGTTTGTCTTTCTGTGCATCGCTTATTTCATTTAACATTATATCCTCCAGGTTCATTCATGTTGTCTTAATGACAAAATTTATTTCATTTGTAAGGCTAAATAGTATTCCATTGTGTATCTATATCACATTTTCTTTATCCATCCTCCTGTTGACAGTTTAAATCCATATCTTGGTAGTTGTGAGTAATGCAGCAATAAACAGGGGAGTGCAAATATCTCCACAACATATTAATTTCAAATACTTAGGATATATACCCCATAGTTAAATTGCTGTTGTATATGATAATTCTATTTTTAATTTTTTGAGGAACCTCTGTTCTGTTTTCCATAATGGCTTTACTAATTTGCATTCCCACCAACAGTGTGCAAGGAATTCCTTTGCTCCATATCTGCTCCAATACTTACCTTTCATCTTTTGGTAACAACCATTCTAAGACTGTATGAGGTGAAATATTGTGATTTTGATTTGCATTACTCTGACAAGAATTTTGGGCATCTTTTCCTATACCTGTTGATCATGTGTATGTCTGCTTTTGAGAAATGTTTATTTAGGTGCTTAGGTTATTTGTTTTCTTATTACTGAGTTGTTTGAGTTACTTTTATGAATATTAACCCCATATCTGATGTGTGGTTTGCAAATATTTTCTCTCATGATGTAGGTTGTCTCTTCGCTCTGTTGATTATTTCCTTTGTGGTGCAGAATCTTTTTAGTTTGATGTGACCCTATTTGTCTATTTTTGCTTTTGTTGCCTGTGCTTTGGGGTTCATATTCAAATAACCATTGCCCAGAACAATGTCATGGAGTGTTCCCCCTATGTTTCTTCTAGTAGTTTCACAATTTCAGGTCTTATATTTTAGCCCTTAATCTATCTTGAGTTTAGTTTTGTATATGGTTTGAGATAACAGCCTAGTTTCATTCTTCTGCATGTGGATAGCTTCTTGCCCTAAACCATTTATTGAAGTGACTGGCCTATCCTCATTATGTGTTCTTGGCACATTTGCCAAAAAATAAATTGACCATAAATGGGTGAATTTATTTCAGGACCCTCTATTCTATGCCACTGGTCTGTGTATCTGTTTCTATGTTAGTACCTTGCTGTTTTTATTACTATAGCTTTTTAGTATATTTTGAAGTCAGGTAGATACATATTCTAGAATAATTCATATATGAGGCAGCAAAACAAATTATAACAAATTTTAAAAGATTAAAATCATATCAGGAATCTTTTCCGACCACAATGTTATGAAACTAGAACTCAATAACAGATAAATTTTAGAAAATTCAATAACATGCTCCCGAGCAATTAATGGGTCAATGAAGAAATTAAAGGGGATATTTAAAAGTATCTTGAGATAAACAGAAATGGAAACATATGCCAAAATTTATGGGATGAAGCAAAAGCTGTTTGAAGAGGGAACTTCATGTACAATAAAGATGTACACGAAAATATAAGAAATATTCCAGATAAACTATCTAATGTCATAAGTCAAGCAACTAAAACAAACAAAAACAAGAACAAATTAAGCCCAGAGTTAGCAGAAAGAAGGAAATAAAAAAGATCACAGTAGAAATAAATGAAACAGAGAGTACAAAAACAATAGAAAAGATCAATGAAACTAAGAGTTGGTTTTTTTGAAAGATAAAATAAACACACTGAGAAAAAAAAGAAGGAAGTCTCAAATAAATACAATAAGAAGTGAAAGAGAATCCACTAGAACTGATAAAACAGAAGTATAAAGAATTATAACAGACTATTATGACCAATTGAACACCAACAACTGGATAAAGTAAATGAATAAATTTCTAGACACAAACAAACTACCAAGACTGAATCACAAAGAAATAGAAAATCTGAACTGACCAATAACAAGTAAGGAGATTGAATTAGCAATAAAAAGTCTCCCAGCAAAGAAAAGCCCAGGACCTGATTACTTCACCACTGAATTCCACTTGACATTTAATAAAGAACGAATATCAATATTCAAACTCCTCCAAAAAATTGTAGAAAGAATACTTCCAAAATAATTTTATGAGGCCATCATTATCCTGATTCCAAAGCCAGATAAGAACCATACAAACAGAGAAAACTACAGGTCAATATCGCTGATGAACACAGATGCAAAAATCCTCTACACAATACTAGTGAACTGAATTCAATAGCATGTTAAAATGATCATTCACCATGTTCAACTGGGATACATCCCAGGGATGCAAGGATGGTTCAACATATAGAAATCTATAAATGTGACAAACTGCTTCAACAAGATGAAAAACAAAAATCAAATGATTATATCGATAGATGCAGAAAATATCTGATACATTCAACATTGTTTCCCAATAAAATCCCTCAACAAATTAGGCACAGAAGGAATGCACCTCAATACAATAAAGGCCATATATGACAAACTCACAGCAACCATCATAATCAATAGAAAAATGTTGAAACCTTTTCCTTTAAGCTCAGGAACAAGACAAAGATGCCTATTCTTTCTATTCAAAATAATACTGGAAGTCCTAACTAGAGCAATTAGTCAAGAGAAAGAAATAAAAGGCATCCAGATTGGAAAGGAAGAAGTTAAATTTTTTCTGTTTACAGATAACATGATGTTATACATAGAAAACCCTGAAGTCTCTACCAAAAAAAAATTATTAAAGTTAATAAGCTTACTCAGTAAAGTTGCAGGGTACGAAATCAATATAGAAAAACCAAAATCAATAGTCTTTCTATACCAACAGCAAACTATCAGAAAATAAATCAAGAAAACAATCCCATTTCAGCAGCTATAAAAATAAAATACTTAGGAATAAATTTAACCAAGGAGGTAAAAGACCTTTGCACTCAAAACCATAAAACACGGATGAAAATCAGTGCAGAATGCACAAATAAATGGAAATATATCCCTGTCCATTGACTGGAATAATTAATATTGTTAAAATGTCTATACCACCCAAAACAATCTACCAATTTAATGAAATCACTATCACAATTCCAATGACATTTTTCCCAAAAATAGAAAAAAAACAGCTTAATATTCCTATAGAATCACAAAAGACTCTGAATAGCCAAAGCAATCTTTAGCAAAAATAATAAAACTAGAGGTATGATACTCCCTGACTTCAAAGTAAAATGCATCTAATATTGAAACCTAAATTCAGTACAAAAGCTTTTGAAGACCTTCTGTGTGTGTGATGGTGGTGGGGGCTCTGGGTTGAGTAAGCCAACTCATCATATTATTGCCAGCCACCACGTCACTGTTAATTCTCAGACTGCAGAGGCTGAAGTATCTCACGAAGCTCTGATCTAGATAAATAAAAATGCAATTTACTTCTAGGCACATAGTAATGAAGCTGCGGAATACCAAATATGAAAAGAAAATCTTAGAATCTAATAGAAATAAAAGACTAATTTCTGAAAATAGATATACAACTTGACTAAAAAGGAAATTTCTTTGTAGAAACAGACAAAAATTATATATCAATAATATAACGATATTGCCAATAAAAAATCCTATTACCTGCTATTCTTTAAGACTAATTGTGAAATAAAGGGATTTTTATAGTTTTTAAAAGTTTGTGAAAAAATCATTTTAAATTTTTATCCAAAAGGAATTAAATCCATAAAGAAAACATTAAAATGCAAAGATCAATGTTTTCATATTATTTTTATTTGAAAATATGTTTCATCATTTTTTGGAACATTTTATATTTAAAAATATATCTAAACATGACAGTTTAGCTCAGTATTAAAAGTAATATATTTTGAATTCATATCATTAAGCAATTGAGAAATACTTAACATGAGCTAGTTGTAAGTCTTAAGTAAGAAAAATAGAATTTTATTTTATTCATACCATGTATCTTTCTACTTCCAGAGAAAGATCTTTAAAAAAAAGGAAATATTGATTCATACCATCTGCTCTAATGTCAGTCACACCAAGAATTTTCAGCATTCTAATCTTTACTAACTTTTAGGAAAGAAGGCATTGTTTTTTTTTTGTCTTTACTGAATAGATGGCAAAAATAGTGCCCTTTAAACATTTATTTTATTCTATTTGGTAAAATAATAGAAAAAGAAATAACATACTTTAAAACACAGTCTTCTTTTTCATTAAGTGTGAAAATACTTTTTATGAATGTAACATTAAAGAATCACAGCACGGCTCATAACTAAGTCATTAAAGGGAGAAAACAGTGAAATATCAAGAGTGATAAAGTCTGTCTGAGGTACACTCATGTTTTAATATTATGTTTTTATTATTAAGGTATTTCATTTTATGCTCTTTTTTATTCATGATATTATGTGGAAAACAAATGAACTAAAATGTGGTATTATATCAGTGAGATTTTTTTTCAACAATACAGCATTTAATGATCAATCTACATTCCATAGTTGTAGGCCCCTACATCTTCAATAAAGTGTACTGGCAACACTCCATTGCAACAGTACTGCATGTGAAATTAGTTCACACTAGATGGCAATATTTCCTAATCAGGAGCCCCAAGTTTTGCTTCTATAAAGTAGTCTTTTTTATATATCATCAGCTAAATGTTTCTCCTTCTTCTTCCCTTTTTTTTAAAATCCTTCCCAATATCCATTTTTCACTGCTGGTTTGCTAATATCCTACTGTTCAGTATTTTGGTGACCAAAATCTATCTATATTGATTCCCTTGCTGTATGCTTTGTTCCTTCATGTTGAGTCTCTTTTGTCCTCCAAGAAAGAAATTGTGAAGGCTGCAGAAAGAAATATGCCAGGATATTAGAAAAGAAGCCCATACAATAGGGATAATGGGTGGATGAAATAGAAATAGTGTTGAGACATTGACTCAGCTATTGAGAAGTCGGCTGTGCAATGTATAATAAGAAAGGGACAAGGTGCATTGTGGTTCAGTTCCATTGCCTATTTTTAAAAAATGTTTTAAATACCTGAATTGATTTAGTTTTCTATGTTGAGTCAAAAGTTTTTTATTTCATCCTTTATGCTTTATCTGCTGTCTTAAACATAGTAACATTGCAATACTATATATCCTGAGCCTTTTGAATATTAAACAGATCAGTCAAATTTGACCTCTGATGCAACTGGTCTTGTTTTTGTTTGTTTGTTTTTACATTTGGTCTTCAGCTCCCTCTCGGGAAAATGGTTATAAATTCTAGGCCTGTCCTGACAGGCTCCACAGGATGTGTTTGTGGGTGTTTACAGTGTGCCTTTCATGGGACATTTCTTTATCCTGATGCATGGCCTAATACCTAGGTATCCAACCCATGACAAAGATTCCCTTTATATTGGCAGACACCCTTGGGGCTTTTGTCTGACCTATATCCAATGTATTCATACCAAGGTAGCTACCTTCCAGGAGAACCCTGACTGGGAGGAGAGTCAGGTTTAAGTACATCAGTCAGGTGAATCACAATGAGGAGACAGCACAGTAAACGACATGAAATCACAGAAGCATTTTGTTACTCATTGATCTATGAGAGAAGCAGGGTGGCCACTTGGGCAGGTGGAAAAATCCAGCAACAGCGGGGTACTCAACCAGTGGGTGGGTGGGGGGTGAGGGCCGAGACTCTGATGTTGACCATTGGGTTGAATCCTGCTCAGCAGCTGCAGGATGTGCTGGGTTTAGGGTCAGTGTGTTTAGAAATAAGCATGGCATCTATCAAACAGCTACAAAAGGAGGGGGAAGTTTTAACTAGACCAAAGGTGATGAGGTATGATTAGCTTTCAAATAACTTTTCAGGCCTAAAAAGGGATGTCAAGGCAGTGGCCATATCAAACAAAATTATAACACAACTATGATATATTTATCAATCATAAATGGCATTTATCAATAAATAGAATTATTTTTTATCTCATTTAAAATACCTATGCCAGGAGGATGGCTCAGTACTGATAATATCTGCCATATAAAAGTAAGTCCTGTTTCTTTTTTTTGTTTATTTATAGCTTATATTTAGTAAGTCATTGTCAGACAGAAATGTCATAGTAGCAGAAATACTGACAGAGGGGTATAGATATCAGAGATAATGCAGTTATGGTAGACAGGAATTCATGTGTTTAAAATAGGACTAAAGGCCGGGTGCGGTGGCTCACGCCTGTAATCCCAGCACTTTGGGAGGCCAATGCAGGTGAATCACCTGAGGTCGGGAGTTCAAGACCAGCCTGACCAACATGGAGAAACCCTGTCTCTACTAAAAATACAAAATTAGCCAGGCGTGGTGGCGGGTGCCTGTAATCCCAGCTACTTGGGAGGCTGAGGCAGGAGAATCACTTGAACCGGGGAGGCAGGGGTTGCAGTGAGCCAAAATCTCACCATTTCACTCCAGCCTGGACAACAAGAGAGAAACTCTGTCTCGAAAAATAATAATAATAAAATAAAATAGGACTAAATTGAGGATGTGGGGGTATACATGTACTCCATTTCTGTAAGCAAATATCATTAACTTACTGCATAAGATTGATAAAACACTATGTATTCTAACTGCTTTATTACATTTAATCCTCATAGCAATCCTATTCCACTAATCCATATGTTGGGGAAGCTGGTCAGTTAAAAGGGCCTTGGTCAAATTGCTCTAAAGTCAAAGAAAATTTCTTGTTCAATTGACTGAAATGATGATACAAAAACAAACTAAAGGACCAGGCACCTCTTGCCCATGATCCCTGTGCCTTGGGAGGCTGCAGCAGGAAGATCGCTTGAGGCCAGGAGTTCAGGACCAATCTGGGCAACATAGAGAGGCCCTGTCCCTACAAAAAATACAAAAATTAGCCTGTTGCCATGGCACATGCATGCAGTCCCAGCTACTCAGGAGGCTGAGGAGGGAGGATCGCTTGAGCCCAGGAGTTTGAGGTTGCAGCCAGCTATGATTTTACCACTGCTCCCCAGCCTAAGCTACAGAGCAAGACTGTCTCTAAATTAAAAACAAAAACAAAAAATTCTACTACGACATACATTTTATGGATAAATGTTACACCGCCATTAAAACAATTATAATACAATAAGTGCATTTTGGAAAAAAAAGAAAAAAAGAAAGGGGCATGATTATATTATACTAGTGGTAGAGTATTCCCTACAAATAAGGATTAAAAATTGTATCTTCTTTACTTGGTAGTGGAATAATCTATTTAATTTGCCAGTCATCCTGTCCCAGCTCAGCTCTCAAGAGGAACTCCCTGGTCCATGGTTCTTCAAGGAAATGGAGAGAAGAATTGGACATAATGTCTCATTTTGAGGGCTGTACGAATTTAGCAACTTTTTTTTTTTTCTAGTACTGGTTTGAGAGCTGAGGGATTGACTCAGGAGTTGACATTACAGCTCTTTGTTTGGTTATTTGTTTTGAGATTTTTCTGAAAACAAATCTACATTGGATTTATTTTTATAAACAAACTGAATCCAGATAAATTATTGCATAATGACTCTTGGCTAGAGCAAATACAGAATATAATAGATTAATCTAAAAAGCGTTCCCATTCTTTTTTGTTGTTGCTGTTAACTCTCTTTTAGTCACAGTGATATTCTTTTTTTTTTTTTTTTTTTGGGATGGAGTCTCGCTCTGTCACCCACGCTGGAGTGCAGTGGCATGATCTCGGCTCACTGCAAGCTCCGCCTCCCGGGTTGACACCATTCTCCTGTCTCAGCCTCCGAGTAGCTGGGACTACGGGCGCCTGCCACCACGCCCGGCTAATTTTTTGTATTTTTAGTAGAGACGGGGTTTCACCATGTTAGCCAGGATGGTCTCGATCTCCTGACCTCGTGATCTGCCCACCTCGGCCTCCCAAAGTGCTGGGATTACAGGCGTGAGCCACCACGCCCAGCCACAGTGATCTTCTTATCTGATAGGTGTGAGTTGAGAGAAGGGCAGGAATAAACAGATTTTAGCATTCTATAACGTGACCCAACTGCTCACACAACTGACTTTTTCCTTCAGCAGCTGCTCTATCCTTGCTTCCAAATTCCCACTTCCCATCTGTGATGTATTGCTTTGGATGTACGATAATAACTGCTCTAATGATCCGATAATCTTATTAAAGTTTTGCCTAATCAATTATTGTCCCTTTACAATGTTTAAATTTTCTTTTTGATCTCAGTAACAAGAATTTATTTTAAAAGACATGATGCTAAGAATGAGGCTTGCTATATCTTCCATAAAACAACCCATTCTGCCACAGATATTCCCAACACCTCTTAAGAGTTGTTTGCTTCAGGTGTTGAATCAGCTGGAGCTTATTTGATGTTAGCAATAGTCTCAGCCTATAATATTGGCTAGATTTATTTTTTTACTTCTTTAAATCTAATGATAACTAGAAGATCAATTCCTAATTCCCCAGTTTTCTAGATGACCTGTTCATTTCAGCATCTATGTCGGTTAAGGTTCTTACTCACTAGCAAGGATAGTAGACTTTTGGATCATTTGGTGAGTGAATAGGAGAAGAAAACTTAAATGAATATTATCCCACCTTCAAATCCAAAAAGGCCAAGAGCAAAGGGGGGTTGTCAGTGAAAGGTATTCCCTAGCTCCACAAATTTGCTACATTCTAGTTCTTAGGTCCCAATTCTTTACTGATCAATTAATTTTCATATTCAAGAGCTGGTAAATTCAACAACTATTGTAAATCATCATATATGCTGGATATTGAACTATTGTCTCACAGTTCCACATTCACTTTATTTTTTTTGAAAGTATTTTATTTTGTTCTTGTCTATACTGAATATTTTTACAAGTCCGATTTTCTAAAATTTTACAGACATAAAATTACTTTTCAATAAACACAAATTAGAAGTAACATAGGATTAGAAAAAAATTACAAAAACTGCCTATTATTCACTGAAAGTGTATATGTAGGTGATTAATATGCAGAATCACTATTACACTCCCAACTTTTTGTCATTCCATTCTGATAACAGCTAAACAAAAAGCTTGGAGTAAAATAGTAATTTCCTACATTAAACGCTATACAAACACTGTCAACAGTGCATTTTATCATTGTTTGAATCATAGCTCAATTTGTGAATAGCAGGTTGCTGTTTGCTTGTTTTGATTTGTAATTCTTTGACAGTGATAGGAGCATTTTTGATATACTTATTGACTCACTTTTTTCTTTCTTTCCCACCTTTTTATAGTCTGTTTTATAATACTAGAAGCTTCTTGTTCCAACAGTTTTCACAATAGTATTTTTCATCCATAGGGAATGTGAGTGAGAGGCTATGAAAGAAAAAATAGTAATTGAAGCAACTTGTCCTTCCTTTCTCCTGTGAATCATCTTGATGGTTTTTCACCAAGCAACTGCATTTTCTTCAAATTTCTAGCTGTTTTTTAACCCTCCCCAAATCAACCTCATTGTCCCCCATCAAAGATAATAGACCCAGCTAAACTTTATACATGTCTGAATCTTAGCTTCAAGGGAATTGTCTTCTGACCTTCTGAGATACCAGCACTAATAAGGCACCAGCAATCCCTCAGAAGTTAGAGTGGATCTTTTGCAGGGGTTCCTCTTGCAAGCTTCCAGGTTTTAGCAATCACATCTTCCTTCTGTTCTTCCAGACCTAGTGGTGGTGGTTCCTTCCTGCACTTAGTTCTTTGTCAAATCAGGATCTCCTCAGCCTTCCAAGACCACAGAATTTCCAATACCTTTTTATTTATTCCTTATAATAAGTGTTTGCTAATAAAATAGCTGAAGTGTTTTGTCCTAATTTGCTTTTCTCTGACTGGACCCAGGGATACAGCAACCTTAATCACATTTTGAGGGTTTTTTAGTTTAGATTGGTTTTAGTTTTTAACCAGTTATCTCTGCCAAATAACTACAAGAGGCTCAAATTATTTTAGTACACACATAAAATCCTGAAATTCAGCCCATGCCTTGAGTTGTATAGCTAGGAATTGGAGTCTATCTCTTTTCATAAGTTAACTGGTTCCATTAGAAGCAATTACCTTTCCGGGTGCCTTTCATACTTTTTTATGCCAGTAACAACTCAATTCTCCAAAATCTTTACTTTATGACTACTCACAGTTAAATTTTAATTTCACATTTGTCAGTGCACACAATGGGCTACCATAGTCCCAGCTTATAATATTGGCTAGAGTTCTTTCTTTTCTTCCTTTAATCTTATGCAAACTAGAAGATCAATTCCTGATTCCCCAATTTTCTAGATGATCTGTTCATTTCTGCAACTATGTTGGTTAAGGTTCTTACTCTTAGCAGTGATAATAAGTTCAGATTGATTTTTTTAAAGGAAACGAATTAATTAAAATAACATTGCCGCACACAACATCCACGTAGAGTGTACAAATATATTCAAAATATGGGAATGAAAAATGAGATCAAGAGGCTGAACCAAAATTTCAATCACGCAACAGAAACAAACCAGTGAGTTGTGGCTACTGATAGCTGGAGGTTGCAGGCTACAGGGCCAGTATTCCAGCAATGATTCCATGGCTGGTATTATTTCTATTACTTCCCTTGAATGCAGGTTTACTACTAGAAAACATTCTCCCTGATTCCTTCTGTCACTATCACCAAATTTAAAAGTTTAGCTGCTTGTATCAGATTGCTCAAGGGAATGCCATCAGCCCATGCCTTAGTTTGCAGAGGAGCAGGTATTTTCAGGCTTAACAGTAGGAGGTTTAGTCACCTGCCAAAATTTAAAATATGCAGATTCACCAGTTCTAATAAGAAGGTTAAGCTGTTAAGCAACCGAATAATGAAGACTCACACTCACCTTCAGTGGATTTACTCCCACTGACTTCCAAAATGAAGTTCCTTCTCCCAGAACTCCATTGAACTATTAAAATGCCCTCTTGTGGTAATACTTGTTGTAACAATTCTCTCAATTGTCTAAGAAAACATCAAGTCCTCAGTTGTAATAGTTTTTGAACATGAAATGTAGAACTTCTGGAAATGATCCTGTTAGTTTTGTTTTGATCTCTGGGAATACTCTTCTTACCTGATTTGTTCAGGTTATTTTCATGATGCTGTGAGTCTCTTTTAATCCTACCTGTAAACGGAGACACTTAAAGTTGTAATGTTGTGGTTATATTCAGGGAATCTGGGGGCACACTGCAGTACTTTGATCTCCATTTTCATAATTTACTAAATGTTCATAATTTGCCAATTTTCTCTTTTGTTTTCCTTTTTTTAAAGACAGGGTCTTACTCTGTCACCCAGGCTGGAGTGCATTGGCGTGATCACTGCTCATTGCATACTCAAACTCCTGGGCTCAGAGGATCCTCCCACCTCAGCCCCTGTAGTAGCTGAAACTGCAGGCACTCCCCACCACAACAGGCTCATTTTTTAAATTATTTTTTGTAGAGACAGGTCTCCCTATGGGTTCAAGGCTGGTTTTGAATTCCTGGCCTTAAGCAATCCTCCCACCTCAGCCTCCCAAAGTGTTAGGATTACAGGTGTGAGCCATCATGTTCATTAGTCAATTTTCTTAATATTTTCTCACTTAAAAATTGGCATCTTCATTGTGCCTCTGTTATATAGCTATTGTAAGAAATATATTATTTTATATATTTTCCTAATCTTAACCTGGAACAGACAGAATGTTTAGTGAATGTCGTTATTATTATTAACAATATTATGTCACTTTACAATTTTTGGTATTCTCTAAAATTTTGAAAACAGTGTTCCTCCCTCCCACAGCAGGACCCCTCCACATCTCATTACTATGTAAATTAACTATACTCACATATGATTCAGTGTGCTTTTTCCCTGGAAAGATCCAGTCCTCCTTTTCTTGTCTTAAGTTTTACTTTAAAAATTAGTTCAATATGATATTTACTTTACACCAGTTACATGGCAGACATGGTGAAATAATAACACTGAAATAATGAAAATAAAAGTTCTCCCCTCAAATACTTTACATGCCAGTGGGAGAGCCAGGATAAAATATCACTGATTCCTATGTAAGAGAGTACACATAACATGGCGGCTCTTCAGCGCGCTGTAGAGCACGGAAGAGGAGCACTTAGATCACCCAGATATTCTTAGAAAGCACCAAGAACAGCCATGAGCAGAGACTTGAAGAAAGAGAACTATAAAGGTTAAAGAAAAATGTGGAGCTGGCATTTCTGCCAAAGGAAACTCCATGAATAAAAGAATAGAACTGTGAAATGATATATTGCCTGAGGCATTTTCAAGAAGTTTGTGGTATAAAATAGCCAGAAATGAAGCAGTATCCATAAAAAGGGGAAAATTCATGGAAGGGCTTATGCACCATGCTTATGAATTTTGGTTTACTCTTTTACGTGATAGGGAGCAAGTGAAAAATTTAGGTAGGGAGGTGAGTGGCACAGTCAAATTTGGAGTCTAAAATAGGTATCCATACCAAAAATACTTGCATGAATAAGCTGGTTCAGTCACTTATTTACTGAGTGATATTGAGAAGTTTGCTTAAATTCCCTGAATTTCAGATTCCTCATTAAGAGGCTTAAATGAGATATATAATTTCAACAGAGTTTAATTTTCTCAATTAAAGCAACAATTCATTAATTATAAGGTCCCATCGAGTTTTAGATTTGTACCGCAGCAGCACTTCTTGGTCGAAGGACATGTAGAATCAACACATGCATGTGATAATTGCACAATATAATCAGAATTCAGAAAAGTGCAAATGGCAGCTGCACGTTGTTGTGTCAGATGATCAAAGAGGATGTTCTTGGATTGAAATTTCACTATGTGATGATAAACATTGTTATAAGTGTCCTAACAGATGATCAAAGAGGATGTTTTTGGATTGAAATTAGACTATATGATGATAAAGCCTGTTTAGGACGGGCCAATGAAGAATTCTTTGCAGAAGTTGTGGAAAGAAGGGGTCAATCATACCTTGTTTAGAGGAAAAAAATGAGAGCAGTTTAAAAGAACAACAAGGATAACACTGTGATCAGAGTTTGGAATACAAAGAATATTCAGACAAGACTCATGTGAGAGCTACTAAACAAATATTTCCATATTAACAAATAAAAATACAAGCAGTATATTAAAAAGGACTGCAAGGCTTAAGAAAATAATCACTAACCATAAGGGTGCATTTATTTTAAGAGGAAGAGAACAAATGCTGGACAAGAGGATGAAGAAAGAAAATCACTTTTTCCCCCATGTGTAATATATTAATTAATTCATTCAACATGCTCATAATATTTCACACTGGAATTACAGTGGTCCACAATCAGACATGTAATTTTTCTCCTGGAGTGCAAAATTTGTTGAAGAATAATGATAAATTAACCACATAAACACATTTAGGCAGAGAAAAATCAAACCAGAAATTGTACTATGTGACTCAGAAAGTGAGACCAAAAAAACAAACAAACAAAAAAAGAAGAAATAATTTTTTTATAACCCAGAATTTCCCTGGATGGACACAGAGGTCTTTAATTTCAAATAATATAAAGAAGGGCCAACAGGATGAGTGTAAACAATACATTACTGAGAATTTTATTTCAGAACTTTAAGGAGGAAAATAATAGTTCTGAAAGGCTTTCAGTTTGAAAAACAGATCATCCACACCAGGACAACAATTAAGTTAGGGTCAGATATACCTCTGAATTTCCAGACCAAGTGCAAATGCCTTTAAAATTTAGTGACAACTTTTGGAGAACACTGTAGCAGCTTTTACTTTCATAAACTAACAGATAATTCAGTCTACACATACTATGCCCATGATTGAGACAAAGATATTTTTAAAAAATGAAAACCTTGAAATCATTCTCCCCAAAAAGTAATGTGTTTCTTCAGCATCCTATAGTGACCCCAACCCTCCTAAAACTTAAGGAAATGGACTTTGTTCAATTCATTGTTTACTATTGCTCAAAGATTTAATCAACTGTTATGTCAAGTTGTGGATTTTTGTCCGATAGAGATGTAAATAACTTCTGTCTGGTAACAAAAACAAAGGTTACTGTTTGTGAACTTATAGGTCATTGACAGTTTTATGTCAAACTCAGCAAACTCAGCAATTGCTTATGAAAACACAAAATGCTCTTTGGACCTATCTTAAATATCTTACTATTACCCTTATTTATTGATATGTTGAATAACTTATTGAAAATACAATTTTTAATATTTTAAAATTAAAATACAAATTTTAATATTTGTAGGAGAGCTACAATTTTGCATTTTTGAAAATTAGGTTTAAAATTCCACATATAGCCTCCTTCCCATACATACATTTCCAAAAATGTCCCTGACAATGTGCATACCACTCATCCCTTCCTCAAAGTTTCATCTTGTCACTGGATACATCTTCTGATAAAATGTGGTCTTTTCAAGTACTCATAGGATGGGTCTCCATGTTGTTTGGAGAATAAATGAAGGATTAAAACAGTAAAACAGTACTAAACTCATTGGATAAAGGAAATAATTAGAAATAAAGCAAAGTGGTCATTGTTTCATAGCTCATATCTCACTCAAAAGAACAGTATGAACATTTTGCCCTAAAAGTAGAATGAGTCCTAGATATTTTTCCGGAAAGATAATTTTTGTCCATTACTCCCACCCCACTTCCCATGGCTTTTGGTTGTGGCCTCTAAGAGGAATGCCTTATTTTATGTTATCCACTAGCGCATCTGAAAAGGGAATTTGAAATAAAGCATATCTGGGTTTCTAAAGCTCTTTATCATCTCACTTCCTGCTGATTTGTGTGGATGTGTCTTCATCTGAGTGCAAAGACAGCAGGCGTGAAGGGGTGTTGTATTGCTAATCACAATCTCTTAACTGCAGACACTGATAAATAAAGCCAGATATTGTTTTGGGTCATGGTTCCTGATTCTAGGGATGAAATTAGGAGAATCTGTTTCCTAGTAACAGTTTCTGTTATATGCTCAGTTCCCTAGACCTCAGTTTAATGATGTCCACCGAGGCATCTGCCTTCAACAATTTTAGACAACGGTTTGGATGGTGAGGAATAGTTAATCTGCTCTTGTCCCTGCTATCTGCACTTACACAATAAAAGTAATTATCTCCTGTATCTGTCTGGCAGCACATAATAGGAGATTCATGGGAAGGGCCTGTGGGAATCAGGCTTCTCTCAAATCTCAATCTTATTGCCAATTTTAGTTCTGGCTTCCTCAACTCTGCTTACACTAATAAGCTTTGTGTTAAATAATTTAGCTTTTTCATCCTTACAAGGCCCCAGGTTATTAAAATCGCAGCCATCCTGAAAGATTGACCAGGAGCAAAAATGTGACTTTTCTTTCAGATGAGCCAATTTCAACCCAAGTCTATCTTTATTATAGGATATTACTGATTCTATTAGAAGAGAAAAAGTTAACAACCCATTCTAACATCCTGAATTTTCCATACCAAATCCCATAATGCACAATTATGTTAGATACATGGTTTATATTGCAAGGTACAACAGACAACATATTGTCCATTTGTTTGTCAATAGATAACAAGAATTACAACATTCCTATTTTGGATCATTATGATTCCCATTGTCTCAAACTACTTTTACTAAGAATTCCAGCTTTAGAATCTGACACTTCATGATACGAAATTTCAGCATGCATCAGGATAGGTACTTACAGTTATCATAAGCCTGAAATGGGATAATCGTAACACTTTCTACCCATTGCCTTAGTGCCTTAGGGCTGCTGTAACAAAGTGCCATAAACTGGGTAGGTTATAAATAACAAAAATGTATTTCTCACAGTTCTGGAGGCTGGAACGTCCCATAATAAGAGACCAGCAGATTTGGTGTCTGATGAGGCCAGTTTCTTCTCACAGGTGGCACCTTCTCGCTGCATCTTCCTGTGGTGGTGGAAGGGGCAAGCCTCCTCTGAGGCCTTGTTTTTTTTGAGGGGGGTGGTGGGAGGCGGTGGGCAGAATCCTGCTTTGTCACCCAGGCTTGAATGTAGTGGTACAATCACAGTTCACTGCAACCTCCACCACATGGATTCAAGGGATTTCCTTCCTCAGACTCCCAAGTAGCTAGGACTATAACGTGTGCCACCATGCCTGACTAATTGCTGTATTTTTAGAAGAGGCAGGGTTTTACCATGTTAGCCTGGCTGGCCTTGAACTCCTGACCTCAGGTGGTCCAACCACCTTGGCCTCCCAAATTGCTGGGATTACAGGCGTGAGCCATAGTGCCCAGCCTGGGCTGGGGGGCGAGGGAGTCTCTTCTAAAGGCACTAATCCTGTTCATGAGGCTCCACTCTCATAATCACTTCCCCAAAGACCCTACCTCTTAATACTTCACCTTGGGGGGTAGAGTGATAGGAATCCTGGGGACACACAAATGCTCAGACCATAGCACCCACCATACTATGTATTTGTTAGGCACACTGGATTTTTAGAAAAGTTAGTGCATAATTATCATTTATTTCAAGGTTGTCCCTTCAATAACAAATTTAACCCAGCCTTCCTTTAGTTTTAGTAAAATATGTTTTATTTTCTATTATAGATATGATACTAACATGTATCCATGAATTCTTCAGCTTTTCACTTCCATACAAAACATAACTTTTTCTAAACTAAAGGGGCTGAAAAGCAATTTACAGAGAGAGAGAGAGAGAAATTGTTCAACGCCCTTTGTTCCAGGACAGCCAAATACAAGTCCATTGATCAAAACACTGTGAAAATAAACATTCCAAAGGTAAACTCTTCATTTTAGAGCCAGAGATCGAAACAATAATAATGTCACACTGTATTAACACCCTGCTAAGTTCAGTTCTTTTTATGTCCAAATAGTGCAGGGGCTGACTTCTCAGTATATCTTGGTTCCAGATTAGCTAATGTTTAAAGTCACCTCTCTGAAATCCTCAACACCACATTTGAAGAGTATAAATTACTGAGAATGTTGTCAACAGTTTTTACTTTCATAAACCAAAAGATAATTTATTTTACAAATACTATGCCTATGATTGAAACAAAGGTATTAATAAAAAGAGTGGTTTTGAAGTTCAAGACTATTTAATCCTATGCTAATATTACCACATACTACAGAAAGATACTTTTTTTGTAATGGCATCTACAGTAGCTATTGTAAACAGTTCTTTCAAATTTGCAGTTTACTCTGAAGTTCTTTCAAATAGTTATCTCAGGAGACTCCAAACCTCCCATTCTCTTTATCCTTGCTTTTCTGATTTTTATAAAAGTTTAATATGACTGGTGTGGTTACGGGTTGGAATTGAGTACACATTTACATATTGCTTAGTCTCTCTTTTATCTGTATTAAGGCGATATTTATTTTTTAATTTTCAGAAAATTTTTATGAAGATAATTGAAAAGTATACCAAATACAAGTGGTATAACTTTAAATATCAAGAATATGTCAATGAAGTTAAATTACAATGTAAAATCTAAATACTTATAGAAAATAGAACATGCAATAGCAATCTTATGTTTAATATTTTATAAAATGAGTCCTTCAAACTTTGCTTAAATTATTTTGAATGTTAAATTATAGGCAGTGTCCTAATATCTTGCCCATCATAATTACTCAGTAACTGTGTATTAAAATGAATTGTATCCCTGTGTCAGAGACTGGCTAATTCTTCACCGAATGCACTTTCTCTACCTCTAGGGTATGTGTTTACGGACTACAGTTCTCTCTGTGCCAATGCAACATGGGTTCTGGCCATGAAATGTGGGTAGAGACAATGTATTCCCTTTCAAATTTAACCCGTTAAAAACTTCCCATTCCTGCATATTTACCCTTCCATGGTAAATTTGAAGCCACATGTTGAAGATATTGGAGCTAAACAATGGGTGGACCCTGGGTCCCTGAATCTCCACTGGAAGGGGGCTGGGCTTCTAATCAGGAACTCTTGCTTTCAAACAGTTACATGAGTGAGAAATATTGTTTTAATCATTTTAAGTCATCACATATTTTGGATATGTTTCAGGAAGTATCATTACTTCATTTAATACAGACACTATTAAAAAAACACTGCTCCCCTTTACTAGAAGAAATTAATAATGTCATTATTCAGAGATGAAACTTCCTCACTATCTGCTCTTAGATGTATACCGTACTCTGAGAATTCCTGGAGTTCTCTCATTTTGTTCATCTTGACAAAATTGCTTTTCTAAACACCTACCCCCACATGAGGGTTCTTTTGAGTATGGGGTATGTAATCACTTCTCGTGACTGCTGTAAGAAAGTACCACAAATGGGTGGCTAAAAACAGCAGAGATTTATTCTCACACAAGTTTGGAGTCTAGAAGTCCAGAATCAAGGTTTCAGCAGGGGCATACTTTCTCTTAAGACTCAAGGAAAGAATCCTTCCTTGCCCCCTCTGGCTTTTTGTGGTTAATGGTGATCCTTGGTGTTCTCTGGCTTCTAGATGATGCATCACTTTAATCTCTGCTCCATCTCTGTCCACGTGGCTTACTACCCTGTGTGCATGCATTTCAATATCCAAATTTCCCTGTTCTTATAAGAACACCAGTCATATTAGATTTAGGACTCATCCTAATACAGGATGACCTCATGTTAACATGTCTACTTGGGCATACTCTATTTCCAAAGACGGCAAAGATGGTCACATTCTGAGGTTCCAAGTAGCATGAATTTTGGGGGAACACTGTCTGATCCAGTACAATGTGGGAGAAAATAGAAAAGAAAAAGATTACATAAAGAAGTCTTTGTAGGTCAAGTAGATGTCAATGAAGACTATGTCAATGAAGTTAAATTAAAATTTAAAATCTAACATTCAGAAATGTAACTTTTCTGAATAATATTATAAAAATTTTCTATGTTCTGTAATATACAAATATAAATGTAAATAAAGAATGCAAACTGAAATGGGAAGGAGACCAAGAATGGCCAGTATTACATCTGACAATGACTTTTCTATATTGTTTGAGAACTTTTTCAAAGTCAAGATTATGGTTCTCAACTTTTTGAATTTGACTCTATTTTTAAAAATTTTTATTCAAATTGGATAGAACTTTTGGAACTTATGTTTACTAACTCACAAATCACTAGCATATGATCAGTTTATATATTTATTAAATTAAATGACAATATCATTCTATAGATTCAAAATAAATCTATAAATGACCAGAAAATAATGTCACTCAAAACTTCATCTCATTATGACTAAGTATAAAATATAGACAGACTGCAAAGTGAGTTGATATAAAGGCATGTACCTATCATTTCCCATTTTCATATCTCTTGTCTCTCTTCAATAAATAAATATGTATATTCTCTTTTGTCATTCTTAGACCAGGAACTGACACCATAGCTTTTGAATAAAGAAAAATAAAAAATAAAGTGTGCTTGTGTCAAAGGTATAACACATTTATTCTATAAATACTGAGTTAGCATTCACTATGTGTCATGCCCTGGTCTAGACACTCAGGATATAATAATGAATAGATTGTCCAGGTGTACTTGAAGGCTCGCTGTCTTCCTCCCTAAGTTGCACACCTTATCTCCACAGATTGGCCTCCAACTATAGCTAAAATTTTCCTCTCCACAAGTGAAGCAAATTAGCTTTCCCGAGGTACATATTTAAACCAGAATACTGCACTAGAATGCAAAATGAGATGAGCTTGCTTCTTTTTCTACTCCAATTTTTTGATACTTAATTAGCTTTTCCATATAGTTATAATAGTAAATTGGGTAAAATTGAGTGCTTTGAGCTCTAGGCCAGCATTAAAATGAAGACTGAATGATTATTCTGATAAAATCCATACACAACCATCAACATTTGGGAGTGATCCTAAATCTATTTATGATTTGGGCAGGTGGGTTTTCATGACTATTGTCTGTAACAATTTTTCATAAGTCAGAACTGACCATAATTTAAAAAGTGGTGATTGATTTAAAAATAAAGCCAGGCATAGGTACAGAAAGGAAAATACTACTGCAATAGAGGTAGGAGAACTATTACAACAGAAAAAACGCTCGGAACATAAGATCTGCAAAGCTCTGAAAGGATAAACAGAATTAAATTTTATTTATAGGGAAGAGTAAACAAGGCTAGAAAGAACTGGATATGGAGGAGTGAGATGAGCTAGTGGTGTAATCAGTTGATCGAAAAATTTTTTTTCCCTAAGGTTAGCTGATTCTCAGGAGGGACTTGTAAAAGAGAGACCAAAGTTGAGGAATCTGGAAAAAACTGCCTAAATTTTGGTAAAGTTAGGTTACCCAGCATTTTTCCATATTGGTCAATAGCAAAATTGTTCAGCTAATCATTTATGAGATAAAGAAATGGAATTTTTAGAGTCTGTGGCTAACATTGTGATTCATAGACAAGGGGGTCATCCATTAATCTAAGTCATAAGGGATGGTTGATTTTTGCAGTAGGCTGTTTCCTAGAACACAAAAGGCAAGAGGGAGAGCAGGGTGAGGAGGGAGCAAGGTGGAGTGTTCCGTACCTGTTTTATTTTTCAGGAAATCATGACTCAGTTAAAGTTCAACACTGTTGGAGAAAAGCCAATAAGAATAAAAGCACACAAAAAATAAGTTAATGTGTACCCTTAACTGAGCTCCTAGTCATTGGGTGGCTAAACCAAGTCATTTATTTCAGAAGGTAAACCACATTCCACATGATCAATGCAAAAGTAATTGCTAAATATTTATCATAAAATTAAAATGAATAAAATTTTTAGTTTAGTTTTTCTTCCACAGACAATTTGCAAAAGCATAAAAACACGTCTTGTCTGCAATATTGGCATATAAATCAAATGATTAAGGATAATTCCTTCCTTAGAAAACACAGTTGTAATCACAAATCCTTTAAGCAAAAATTATTTATTCTACCTTAAATTGTAGATTTTTTTGTCAGTTAGACATAATACTATATAATCTGTGATTAAACCTGCTTACAAAAAAGCACATGAAATATACCATATGTAAATGAGATGCAATTTAATAGTCCTATTTCATCTTGCAAATCTCGTTTTACTTCATCTTTATCTCATTTACTTTATCTGTGAATATGATTTGCTGAAGTTGATTCACCTACATCTTATGGAAAGATTACATTTAATATATATTAAAACAAGAATTTAATATGCATTTTTCTCCTTATTAAGATTTGGAAATTAACAAAAATTCTAGAATCTTAATATGAGATATATAACAGGTTTTTTGTGTATTTCATTAGAAATTGCACAAATCTTAATACATAACTAATGAAAAGAGTTGGCCCAAAAATAGTTAAATCAGATTATAGCGTGAGCTAAATGCACAAATATAAGTGGTATGGTAGTGATTTAGCTATGTACTAGTGCGCCTCTTACAACTGCAGAAAAAAATGTAAGAAGCTATTCTTTTTAGACATCAAATTAAATAGAGCAAATGTAAAAAGAGGTTTATTTCTTCACATCACCTAAGACCAGTGCATTTTATTAATGTGCTAATTTTACCTTTATTAAGATATGCATGAGAAACATTGCAGCAGCATTAACCATGTCTCATGTTCCTTGAGGCACAATATATAAATTAGGATACAACATATTTAGTTTAGGAAAACAAACTAATGGAGATTATACGTATATGTTGACTTCGTTTCATCTATCTATCTATGTATCAAATTTGTTCTTTATCTATATCATTGTTAATCAGCATTTCCTTTGAAATGTATTTCTTGAGACATAACTCATGTATAGTAAAATGGACAGATCTTCAGGTACAGTTTGAGAAGTTTTGATAAATATTAATACCCATGTAGCCAATGCCCATTTCTCCCTAGAGATTCCTGTCATGTGCCTTTCTAGTCAATCACCCCACCACCAAAGGCTACCACTGTTCTGATTTCTGTCACCATAGGTTAATTTTGTCTGCTCTCAAACTTTATGTAAATAAAGCCATATGCTAGACACTCCTGTTTTGGGGGTGGGTGAAGGGTCTGGCTTTTTCAATCAGCTCTATGTTTGAGAGATTCTTGCATTTTGTTCTATCAATGGTTTACTTCTTTTTACTACTCTGTAGTTTTCATTTATAACACAATTTATTTACATGCTTTCTGGTGAGAGTTCTCTGTTTGCAGGTATGATGAATAATGTTGCTAGAGAATTCTTATGCAATTCCTTTTGTGGACATATGTGTTCATCTTTTCAGTGATGATGGCTAACGGTGGAAGTTCTGGGTCGTGTTGTAGGTAAACATTTAACAGTATCGGAAACTGTCAAATTTGCAATTTTCTTTTTCTTTTTTTTTTTGATGAATTAAATTCTCTGCATAATCTTTACACAATTTCTATAATCTCTCTCTAAGGATCCTTTACATTTCTCCAGTAGGTCACAGCAGAAGAAAACTGCTGACTTGCGTAATAAAGCTAACTCCAGTGTCATCCTGGTAAATACTTACCAATTGCCTTTCAGCGCTGATTGGTAAAATAAAAATGCTCCCTTCATGGCTGATTTCAAGCTACCAGCATAATGTCAACCAACTCTGAAAATTCCTGAAGATATCACAGTGGTTCTTCCAGGAAAAGCCATCTTCAGGATCCATCTTATTTTTGGCAGGGAGAAAATAAAGCTGTACAACTCACTGCATCATTGGCCCTAACTCCTCTCAAATCTTTCTGTGGGAATGGACTGGATAAATAGTAATGTTTACTGAATGCTAACTATATGCCAAGCAGTATGCTAAATACTTTGAATGAAGTGTCTCTTTAAAATATTTATATCTACAACAATGCTAAGAAAAAAGTACATTTTTATAGATGAAGAAACTGAGGCAAAAATTAAGTGAAGTGCTTTCCCAATGCCCCACATGTAGTAAATGGTGGAGCTAGCATTTCAACCCAGACACTCTGGCACCAAAACCTCACATGCTAACCTTTATGTTATTGCATAGCTTCCATTCTTCTAAACACAAAACAAGATTATGTTTTGCTGTTGAAGTACCATTCTGTGCATTGCTTAAAATCTTCATTAACTGAAATAATATTCTTGATAGTATAAATTGTTTAATTATACTTTATACAGGCTTCATGTAATTTACTTCATATTTCATCGGTGAAAGAAATTTGAATTCACAATTATATATAAAGATGCATTTGAAACTCAGAATCAAGCAATCATAAGGAAAGGATGACTTCATATTGCATTCAAAAGCTATTCAAGTTAAATTACCATTATCTTAAGTCATTTTTAAAGATGTTTTAGAAAGCTGAAAAAGATGTGTTTGCTTATTTATAAAATTACTACATATATAAGAAATTATTGCTGCTTTGAAAATTTATATATATGTGTGTGTGTGTGTGTGTATATATATATATATATATATATATATATATATATATATATATATATATATCTGTCCCACAGAATAAATATTAATGTCTCAGGTTTACCAAAGTTCAGTTCATGAACACAACTGAAATGTCAGCTGTCCTCAGTAAGAACTGATTCCTGAATGTCAAGTCCCCAAGTAAGTCTGACTTATGCACTGTAGATAAAGGCAGCAGGAGAGCAGTTAGCCTTGTCAAAAGACTTCGCTGGCCTCTTAGGTGCTCATGATAAGGCGATACCCTTCTGATCTGTCATTACTTTGAGCCATACATTTTAAAAGTTTTCATGTAAAGGGTACCAAGTGGGAAAGCCATTGCATCTCTTTACTTTCTTCAAAATAATCAAAGTCTCTAAAAGCTGAAACCTGAGGTACATTCTATCTATGTTTATGAAGGTGAAAATAAGTTCAGAACATTGCAAGATTGTGCTTTTGATGAAGAATTGCTTCACCATTTTTAGCTCCCCTTTTCTGCCTTTTTAAAACTTTCAGTCATTTTTTTTAATGTTGAGCTCTAAACCATAAAAGACTATATGTTTCTTACATGCAAAGCCAGTCTATTTCATATTTTAAAGTCTGATTCCCATCATAATGTTGGCACTTTAAGAGTACAGTACTAATTAATGTGTTAATACTCTTATAGTGGAGGAACGTTTCTTCCACTATAAGAAATGCTCCTAGATAGAAGGGCTTTCCTATACAATTTTGGATGTGTTGTATGTCTAGTTTATATAAATTTTGTCAAGAGTGTAGTGTGATTGTTTAGAAATAAAATATGAAGTTGGATTAATTAGATATCAGTCTCAGTTCCTCCACTTGTTAATTACCTAATCTTAAATGATTTAAGTGCTTTTAACTTCGGATTCCTCAACTTTAAAATGGGGTGTCAATATTCATTTCACGAAACTGTTTTTGTGTTGTAACATATATAAATAAAACAATCAACAAAATGCTAGAAACATATGCATTTACTTGCACATTTGCCTTCTATTTTGCTTCCCAAAATAATATTGTGTTATATCCTCACTACCTAGAATAGCATCTGATGCATAGTATACACACAACAAATATGCATTAATCAATATGTGGACATATAAATATATGTGAAAATATTTATTTAGTTCTCTTTTTATCCATTTAGCATGTTCTCTAATTTCAGGACACTGGTTGACTACCACAACAGCTTTAAGCCTGAAAATATTTAACATTTAGTATCATGTAGCCAACTATATATTCCTTCTTGTATTTCCGTAATTTAAACTTCCCTGTAACTACAGTCATATTGATGCAAACGTTCCCAAACCTCATAATCTTTCATTTCCATTTATGTCTTCTCTACTCTTCTCAACACTGTTGAAAGTTTTCAAATAGTACCTCTCTACTCTATTTACTGCTCCTGCTTCTCTCCATGGCATTGTGGTTATTTCTGAATAATGCAGCAACTTTCTACCTTACTTACCACTCCAGTCTCCAAAACCCCACTGCCTCCTAACCCATTGTCCACAATAATAGCGAATGATTTTTTTATTATCATCCCAAAATAAAATTTTCATGATGATTTTTTCCTAAAGGCTTCTATATAATATCCAAACACCTTCACATGGAACATAAAGCCTTTCATCATCTGAAATCTATCTACTTCTGTGGCCCACAGTGTAGATCGCCACAGGCATTCTACAGGCGTAAGCTCAGTCTACCATGGTCTTCTAGGGCACCTGCATTTATGTGCATCTATGTGTGCCTAGGATACTGCCTTTCTATTTCTTTGTTGCTAACTTCTTTTTGAACTCCATAACTCACCCTGGGTGTTTCTTCTTTTCTAGTCCCTTCTCTAACAATGTCCCTAATTACATATATACTTTCCTCTACTGTGGCACCAAAGAGTTGTGTGCATTGATCAACTTACGTTTTGTTCCCTCTGTACACCATAATTCCTTGACTGATGAAATATCTGGCTAATTATTTGTCATATACTACCAGCAACACTGATTCTTCTCCTTCTAGTACCACTATAATCACAATTACTAATAATATTAATAGGTAAAATGGGCTAAAAAATTACCATTTGCATTATTTCAACCTCTGCGTACATTTATACCTCACTAAAACACTGTGTGTCAGGTACTGTAAATGTCCTCATATTTTATATAAGTAAACTAAGATACAGAAAGTTGAAGTCACTTTCCCATAGTCACATAGCTATAGGTGGCAGGTCCAAAAGACAAACTGAGAGTCTAGTCTCAGAGTTTGACCTTCTAACCACTATAAATTCCTACTCATTACTGTTCCATTAGGGACTACTGAATAAATGGTTTTCCAAAAATGCAAACATAACTGAAATAAGAATCAATATCTTTGAGACCACAGGTTCATTCTGTAAAGCATTACATTGTTTTAAGTTACATTGGTTTCATAAAAAATTAAATCTAGATTTAAAAGTTTATACATAACTTTGAACATTCATATAGAGAGAATTTTACTAATAAAGACAACTAAAATGTATGGCTTTCATCTCCAATGCCCTAATACTTCGGAATACTAAATTTAGTAATAAGAAAATGTGCTGTTTTTAACAGTAAAGTAGGCAATTAATAGTGTGTATTTGAGGTGAGATGAATGGAAAAAGCCTCACAGAGGAGTTCATGTTAAGCCTGGTCTTGTGTAATGATCAAGCCAGAGAAAGCAAAAAAGGCATTTCAAGTTGACCAACATGAATGGAAAAATGGAGCTGTGAAACAGTTTCCATGAGCAAGGGATAGAAGTCTGGCATGTTAAAAATGCTAAGCGTCCAAGGGAGGTGACAGATAGTCTTAGGAAAGTACAGACAAATTGTATTGGGGATAACTTGTAAAGAGTATTCCTGGAAACTCTACTAAGGGGTCTGTCCTTTGTCTTGCAGAAGCCAAACGGCTCTTGAGTAATCTTTACTCGATTGTTTTCAAATGGCTAATGGCAGTATTTGTTTCATTTTAAAACACATATATTTCTACAAGAGCAGGAAATGAAACTGATATAATCATTAACACTCAGGCTGTATAGGTATAATAGGTGTGAATGGAAGTCCAAAATCTCTAGCAGGTAAGGAGTATAATTTTGTTTTTCTATAACTCAAATCATTTCTATTTTTATGTCCCATTCTGCCAAAATAACAGGAATTCAGCTATAGCCATTTGGTTTCCAAACCCTTCCTGGAATCATGACTCATCTCAGAGGTTTTAGAAGATAATTGGAGAGAGGGGCGATCGATCCTCAACCATTACTCCAGGCATTGTTTAACCTCTGCATACATTTATCCCTCACTAAAACACTGTGTGTCAGGTGCTATAAATGTCCTTCTTGCTTGCTCCCCAGAGTCAAGTCTGGAGCCTTTGTACCATATACTTTGATCATCCTGCATTTCTACCCTTGGCCCTTATGAAAGTTATTAAATATATATTTATGTAAATATGCCTGTATCAGTTTGTTCTCATGCTGGTGATAAAGATACCCAAGACTAGTTAATTTACAAAAAGAAGTTTAATGAACTCGCAGTTCCACGTGGCTGGGAGGCCTTACAGTCTTGGCAGAAGGTGAAAGGAATGTCTTACATGTCAGCAAGCGTGAGAGAATGAGAGCCAAGCAAAAGGGGAAACCCCTTATAAAATCATCAGATCTCTTGAGACTTATTCACTACCAAGAGAACAGTATGGGGGAAAATGCCCCAGTGATTCAATTATCTCCCACTGGGTCCCTCCCACAATATGTGGGAATTATGGGAGCTACAATTCAATATGAGATTTGGGTGGGGGCATGGCCAAACCATATCAAGGCCATTCAATGTCTTCTCTAATTTTAGGACTGTAAACTCCCTGAGATTGGGGCAGAATATATTCATCACTGTGGCATTGTTCTTAGCTCCATACCTGGAACATTTTAATGTTTGTTCACATTTTTCATTAATAAATGAATTAAATGATATCCCAATTTTCAAATTTTAAGCAAAGATCAGATCAGTGGGAGACGTATTTCTGGACAGGAAGTACTCTTTAGTGCCTATCTATTTACTTCAAAAATATTTTAAACTATTTTTTAAAATTAGGTTTATCCATGTATTTGGTTTAATTTTATTAAGAAGGTAACTTTTTTTTCAGAAGATACCTTTTTTTTTCAGAAATGATTTGTTAGACATAAGTGACAAAGAGAAGAGACAATCTTAAGAAAGATCATTGTCTACCTTATTTGTATAGCTATGGAAACAAATGAAGACAAGCCAAATGAGAAAAAACAGAGGCAAAGGGGTCAGACACAATCGCTTGTCTTTGGCAGAGGCTGAATGACGGGCTGGAGAGTAGGAAAGCTTTATAGTGCAAAAAGGCAAGCTTTCAGGTATGGCCTTGATAAGAACAGGAGACGGAAACACTGGGTAGAAGAGGGCGGTTCCCTGGCAAAGGCCCCACCTTCAAGCTTGGATATCCACAGCCCTAAGTGGGAACAGGCATATCTGTTTTTGCACCCAAAACGTTGTTTTTTGGCCTGCCACACCCCCCGCATCCTGTACCCATATAAACCCTGAACCCCAGGTTCCAGGAGAAGATGAGCAGACGAGGAGATCAGGAGATGAGCAGATGAGGAGACAAGGAGGCTAGTAGGCAAGAAGTCATGTAGAGAAAGGGAAAACAGAAGAAACATCTAAATGCCGAGAGGTGTTCGGCTAGGGGCGGTCGGAGAGGCATTCCGCCACTGGACAGCCTAACTCCAGGGAAAGATCACCTTCACACTCCATCCCCCTTTCAGTTTCCCATCCATCCTGCTGAGACCCACCTCTTCGACTCAGTAAAACCCCCACATTCATCCTTCAAGTCCGTGTGTGACTTGATTCTTCCTGGACACTGGATAAAAGCTCAGGATACAGAAAGCTGTCACACTGGCCCTCTACCCTTGCAGAAAGGCAGAGGGAGCTGGTTAACACTTGGGCTGTCTGCAGAGAGCAGAGCTAAAAGAGCATTATAACACTGGGGTCACAGCCACCCAACCCTAGACACTACTGCAGGGCTGGAACCCAAAGCACTTGCCCTGGCCTCCGCACCTGCCAATCTGTATGCTCCCCCTCCTGCTAGGGGTTTGAATTTACTGCCGGTGAACAGAGAGCCACACCCCTGTCACATGCTCTGTGAGGGGGACCAGGGAACAATCCAATTTCAGTCTGATTGGAGGTTACTGGCATAGAAGAACTGGAGGCAGGCTAACTATGAGCTAGGTATCTTTTGTGAAAAGTTTGGACATATATATTTAGTCTTGAGTTGGATGCATAGTACGAAAACAGAAAAATTGGCCATCACTGACCAAGTTCTGACTATTTTCATTGAATTGTTGTGGTTTGTCTTCCTGGTCTGGTTGTGGCAGAGGTAATGAATCAGAGTTTCACTGTCATTTACTGTCTGGCCACTGTGCATTTGTATATTCAGTCTCATATAGCTTGAAACACATATTTAAGGCAACACTGGCAATAATTTTTAAGGCAATAATAATGATACCAGGATCATACAATATACTTTTATATTCAGTCATCAATTCATTTCAAAAATATTTATTAAGCACCTATCATATTCAATGAACAGTGCTCAATAGTGAAGATATGGCATTAAACAAGACAGACACCTTGATACCATGCTTGCTTTCAGTATTCTTACTATCCAATATACTAGTCCAAACCAGGACAGCTTTTTTCTCATTGATCCAACTATGAAAGCATATTAGAAGTTTTATTTAAAAATTTAGGTTTTGTGCAAAACTGTTTTATCAAGTAGGCTGCTTCTCACTGCAAGTAACTAACATCCTTTCTCAAAAATCACAGGAATCTGTAGGCTTATGTAATTATTGCAAGAGTCCTGAATTATTGCAGGTTTTAAGCATGTTTTGATCAAGGCCATGCTACTGTTTTCTTGTTGTTGTTGTTGTTGTTTTACTTTTTGTCATTTTCAAATTCAAGCTGACCTCTGTCATAGAGGTTAATGGTTAAAAGTTTCATATCTCACATTTGTCCTATATGCCATACAGAAAAAACAAAGTTTCTTTTGTAACCAACTATACAAGAAAAGCCCATCAATTGGATCCTAATCCTATGCTAGCTTTTTATTACTGCTGTAACAAATTACTACAAATTTAGTAGCATAAAATAACACAAATTTAGCCTCTAACAGTTCTGGAAGTCAGAAGTCTGAAAACAATTTCAGTGGGCCAAAGTCAAAATGCCTGCAGAGCTGGTTCTTTCCGAAGGCTCTCAGGGGAGAATCTGTTTCCTCATCTCTTTGAACCTCTCGTGTTTTCTTAGAGTGGATGTTTGTATTTCTTGTGGGCTCTTCAAAGTGCATCACTCCAATGCACCATCACATCACCTTCTCCTCAAACTTTGACTCCTTCTGAACCCTTCTAATAAAGATTCTTGTAATGACAGTTAGGACCCAACCAAATAATTCTGGATAACCTCCACATCTCAAGATCCTTAACTTAATTACATATGCAAAGTACCTTTGCCATATAAAGTAACATTAACAAGTTCTGGGGCACAGGCTGTAGACATCTTTGGGAGGCCATTATTTAGCTTACCACAGGTGCCTAGGCTTGCTTTGTGGTTGTTGAGATAAGCATGGCTTAACCCAATTACGGAGGCAAAAGGGATGACATTACAGAGCAAGCTCTAAAGCTGAGAGTACCAAAACCACCACTGCAAAATTTTAACTGAGACAGTGAAAGAGATCTGACCTAACCAACTCTATCTTGCTTCTAACCTCCACTGTGTCCTTGTTCATTCTTGGGCATAGACTGAACTAACTTTGGGAGGAACTTAGTTTATAGCTTATAGTTTGAAACAAAGCTGATAACAGGCCTTTCCCAAGGCGAATCTCCTTCTTGTCTGGGGACTAGACTGCCTTTGTAGGACTAACAAATTAGCCACAAGATTAGAAATTATGGTTTAGGGCCGGGCGCAGTGGCTCACGCCTCTGATCCCAGCATTTTGGGAGGCCGAGGTGGGTGGATCACGAGGTCGGGAGATCGAGACCATTCTGGCTGATACGGTGAAACCCCGTCTCTACTAAAAATACAAAAAAAAAAAAAAATAGCCGGGTGCTGTGGCGGACGCCTGTAGTCCCATCTACGTGGGAGGCTGAAGCAGGAGAATGGCGTGAACCTGGGAGGCAGAGCTTGCAGTGAGCTGAGATCGCGCCACTGCACTCCAGCTTGAGTGAAAGAGCAAGACTCTGTCTCAAAACAAAAGAAATTATGGTTTAGGAGTCATGCAGCTGGAGGCTACAAGATTTTGTCCCTCCCTAAACTGCTCCTAAGATTAGTGCTTGAGATATTTTGCAGAACCTGTACTTGATGGATCAGCTGGCACCACCCAGAGTGAAAAACTGTCTCACCTGATTTTGTTGCCCCACCCATGAACTGACTTGGCATAAGAAGACAGCTTCGACTCCTCTGTTAGTCTGTTCTCATGTGACTATGAAGAAATATTCGAGACTGGATAATTTGTAAAGAGAAAAGGTTTAATTTATTCACTGTTCCTCATGGCTGGGAAGGCCTCAGGAAACTTATAATCATGGTGGAAGAAATGCACCTTCTTCAAGGGCAACAGGAAGGAGAACTGCCAAGCAAAGGAGGAAAAGCCCCTTATAAAACCATCAGATCTCATGAGAACTCACTATTACGAGAACAGCATGGGAGTAACCACCCCCCTGATTCAATTACTTCTCAGTGGGTCCCTCCCATGACACGTGGTTATTGTGGGAACTACAGTTCAAGATGAGATTTGGGTAGGGACATTGCCAAACCTTATCAGCTCCCTTTGATTTCATTGCTGACCTAACCAATCAGCACTCCTGGCTTACTGGCTTCCCCCGACCCACCAAGTGGTCCCTAAAAACTCAGATCCCTGAAAGCTCAGAAAGACTGATTTGAGTCATAATAAAACTCCAGTTTCCAGCACAGCCAGCTCTGCATGAATTACTCCTTCTATATTGCAATTTCCCTGTTTCGATGAATTGCCTCTGTCTAGGCAACAGGCAAGGTGAACCAATTGGGTGGTTACAGTATGATCAGATTCATCGTAACTGCCTTGCTGCCCTCAGTAGGCACAGTGAATGCATGCTGGAGAGGCAACAATTCTGTCCATTTCCTGCTGTCATCTATCAACTTAAGGATAAAAGCAACGTCTCTAGTATGCATGGATACTGAGTGCAAATCTCCAGCATAGAAAATTAAGGAAAAACCACGCCCTGAACACAGTAAAACAGAATCTTGTCTTTAAAAGATTGTTTTCTAAGGAAGAAGCATCTGGACTGAGGTTCAGTTAGACCAACAAACAAGGTAGAAAAAGTACCAGGAGATAGGTAAGTATAGAAATATTTTCCTAAGTAGGTCTGTGGTTAGGGGATAATTTAAATTTTGAAAGATGAGAGAGAAAACTTAATTAGCTGTATGGTGTTAATCTCTAATATTTGCTGCTTAAAGCAGCTTTGATTCCTAAGTTAGTGTCTTGAACTGGAAAATTAAAATAAAGTTCTTCATAAAATGAGATGAGTTTTTAACATTTTATGACATGTTTAACCTTGGTGGTCAGTTCTTCTGAATAACAGCGATGATATCTAATTTTTCAAAGGTACCATGTTTTAAAAGTTAGCTTTCACTTGGCATATTTAGTCAAGTTTTTTTTTTTTTTTATTGAAGAGAAGAAACTAGAAAGCATCAAAGATATTCAGTGAGTTTAGTTGTCTGCTCTGAGGCAATAAAACATGTTAACTAAACCATCAGTTGTGTGTCCACATAATAATTCACTTTACAGATGTTATTTTAGAATATATTTATTGATATTTAAACCAAATATTCTCAAGGTATTTACATCATGCGTTTTTCAAATTTTTTGGTTGTATTTACATTTCAGTGAAGGTAGAAAATGATTATTCACCATTTAATGAATTTAATTTTATACCCTTAAAAAGAAAAGTTAGCTGGGCTTGGTGGCTCACGCCTGTAATCCCAGCACTTTGGGAGGCCGAGGCAGGCAGATCACAAGGTCAGGAGTTTGAGACCAGCCTGACCAACATGGTGAAACCCCGTCTCTACTAAAAATGCAAAAAATTAGCTGGACGTGGTGGCGCATCCCTGTAATCCCAGCTACTTGGGAGGATGAGATAGGAGAATTGCTTGAATCCGGGAGGCAAAGGTTGCGGTGAACTGAGATCACACCACTGCACTCCAGCCTGGCAGCCTGGGCCACAGTAAGACTCCGTCTCAAAAAAATAAAAAAAAAAAGAAAAAAAATGCCTATAAACGTTTAACTCAAAGTAGTTAACTAATAATAATTTAAAGTAACAAAGACTTCATATCTGAAAAACAATATGTTTTTCAGATAGTTTAAAACAAACTAAAGTACATGAATATCAAAATTAAGTAGCTTTAATCCTTATTTAGGCTCAATGAGAATTGTTTCTTTATAGGCAAATCTCTGCATTGTAAAATAATACCTTTTTAGATAAGTAAAATAACACTTTCCTCCTGAAAGTCATACATTTATAGGTTTTGTCCTGTCTTTTCAATATTGATGCTCTCAGTCAAGTTATACTAAATTCCAGAGATTATCTCCCATGAGACTACATTTTTTTTTCATCTTTAAATGTCACTCTCATAAAGGATTAGAAGTAATTCTACAGGTCATTGTTTTCCCTTAAAGGAAATATTTTGAAATAAAGTCCCATAATATATTCAGATAAGGTAGACTTCTGTGAAGTTTGAAAATACTACAAAGTGTATCTCTACTTTTAGTGATTCACAATCACGATAATATTCAGAGATCTAAGAAATTCTGAATTAAGTAAACCTGGTTAACAGAGTAACCAGAAATTACTCGCCCTGTCATAGATTTCATCAGGTCCTAACATCCAATGACATATCACAGAACTCTGTCATGAACTACTTCAGAATTTGGTAGTAGCCCTCCCTCCATATGGCATTCTTCATAAATGGCATGCCCCCCCAAAAATGAGTTATATCTCCCAAATGCATGACTTTGATAGCGAGAATCTGGGTTTGGAGGAGCTGATGAGCCCAGTCTCCACCCTTCACTGCATGTTCACCAAGTGCCCAACATGACTGCTTTCCTGTTCACTAGTTCATCAGCCAAGAAGCCTAGTTCAGGAGCTTAAAGAAAGAATTTAGGTCACAGCATTAATATTCTCTTCTTCGAATATGATATCACATCTAGGAAGCTACCCTCTGATCTAAAAAGGGGAGAATAGAGATTGATAACAATTCTCTACTACTACGTTTGCTCTGAAATCTGTGTCACATAAAAGCAAGAGCCAATACTAAATAAGAGAGACAGGTACCAAGGATAGTTTTATACTACTTTATTTATTTATTTATTTATTTTTATTTTTGTTTTTTTTGAGACAGAGTCTTGTTCTGTCGCCAAGCTGGAGTGCAGTGGCGATCTTGTGCAACCTCCGACTCCCGGGTTCAAGAGATTTTCCTGCCTCAGCCTCCCGAGTAGCTGGGATTACAGGCGCGTGCCACCATGCCCGGCTAATTTTTGTATTTTTAGTAGAGACGGGGTTTCACCATGTTGGCCAGGATGGTCTCAATCTCTGGACCTCGTGATTCGCCCCGCTCGGCCTCCCAAAGTGCTGGGATTACAGGCATGAGCCACTGCACCCGGCCATTTTATACTACTTTAATTTAGTTTCTAAACAAAAAGAAAATAACCTGATATTAGAACATTCAAATATTACAGTACTATGAAAGTATAATTATTGAAAAAACCAAAACAGTATAAGGAAAATAAAATAACTTTATATCAGATTTCAAAATAGCTTTTTAAAACTCTATAGGAAAGAATAGATCAGACCTATAAGAAGTAAAAAGCAATGCACATATAAAACTGCCTGCACAAACAGGAAGACTTGATTTCTAAGTTTAATATATTTTACTCAAAAAGGCCTGATGCCTTGTGCACAGTAGGCAAAAGATCTTTTTGAGTAAGTAGAGAAATGTTTCACTTTATAAAATAAATTAAACTAGTGTTGACCTAAAGATTTTTATTCTAGCTTTCTAGATGTTAGCTTCTTAACTTTAGGGAATTAACTCTCTGTGTGATAACTATAAAATAAGAGTCTGGATACTCTATTAATATGACTCTCGTTTCAGATTCATATTGTATATTCTATTCCACACATTAATTGAATACTCATAATTACTAAAGTATAATTTTAGCTTTTTGAGAGAAAAAAGAAAAGATCTACACACTGGTTTAAATACTAGAAAGTTGACATATGATTTTAAAGTATAAAAAATTCCTCAAGAAACTAGGATCAATTCTTCTGTGAAACAAGATAATAAACTGATAAGTCCTGAAACAGATTTTTTAATATAAAAATATTGGAGTATTCGAGAAACTTTTTGGAGAAAAAAATTTACAAGCCCTAAAGACTGGATTCAAAAAGACTCCTTGTAGATAAACCTCCGTCTAAGAAACCTTAAAATTGGCAAGTTATTTTTAGACAGAAAAGAAATGCGTCCCAGATCATTGAAATAGTCTGTTCAAATTCTTAACTTTCCAGTTTCATATCTCTTTAAAAAAAAGAAACAAGTCTAAAATCAATGCATTAATTTGAATACAATAACACACATATAAGCACACACATGCACATACACACACAGTTATCAATATTCCTGCATCTACTCAGTTTCTTCAGGCTTTATAGTTTTCTGCTTGGTCATTTTTTAACTGATCTCTGCTGTATCATTTCTATTTATTATGACAGAACTGCGCTTCCCAAATAGGTATGTTGAAGTCCTGATGCCTGTGAAAGTGATCTTATTAGGAAATCAGGTCTTTGTAGATAAAATTATGATGCAAATTACGATGTGGATATGTCAACTATGGTGGACTCTTTATCCAATATAACTGCTGTCTTTATGAGAATAGAAGAGACCAGAGACCCAGAAGGAGAACAGCATATGAAGACTGAGGCAGAAACTGGAGGGATGTATGTACAAGCCAGGAAATGCCAAAGATTACTGCTGTCACCAGAAGCTAGAAGAGAGGCACTAAACAGGCTCTTCTTTAGACCCTCAGTAGGAAGCAACCCTGCTGACCCCTTCATTTTAGAGTTTTTAACCTCCATAACCCAGTCAATAAATTTCTGTTAAGTCACCATTTTGTGGTACTTATTATAGCAGTCCTTGGAAAGTAATGCACTGTGTGAAGCTGACAACATGAAAATTCTAGAGAACTCCATGGCTCCTGATGGTAATTATAATGCAATTTAGAGGATAAGGCTTATTTGACTACTTAATTCAAATTTCAGGTGTGAAATTGTTACAATGATGTCCAAATTTATTAATGATTTCTACTTCTTGTCTAATGGGAGAGATAAATTCTAAAATGTTTTCTTATTTTTTGCCTTATTTATAGAAAATTTTATAATCCTGACACATTTTAGAACCCATAGGAGCTATAATATGAAAAGGATGGATCAGATTTTGAGGTCAGTAAACTATGAGTCTGAATCCATATTTAGCCTTTTCTCAGGCTCTGCTAATTTAGGTAGGTCTTTTCTGAGTTTCATTTCTTATCTGATTCATGGTATTGTTGGCAGGATAAATTATATCAGGTTAGTAAGATTTCTGTAAAAATATAGAAATACTATGATTTTTTTCTTCACTGTTTTTAAAAGTAAAAGAAGTTAGAAGGCTGGGCGCGGTGGCTCACTCCTGTAATCCCAGCACTTTGGGAGGCTAAGGCGGGCAGATCACGAGGTCAGGAGATCGAGACCATCCTGGCTAACACTGTGAAAACCCCATCTCTACTAAAAATACAAAAATTAGCCGGGTGTGGTGGTGGGCGCCTGTAGTCCCAGCTATTTGGGAGGCTGAGGCGGGAGAATGGCATGAACCTGGGAGGCGGAGCTTGCAGTGAGCCGAGATAGTACCACTGCCCTCCAGCCTGGGTGACAGAGCGAGACTCTGTCTCAAAAAAAAAAAAAAAAAAATTAGGAAAGTAAAATCTTTTATTCTTAATGTGCAGAGAAAAAGTGCCCCTTGAAAACTGATTTATCCCAATTTATGTTAACTCATTGGTATGTCTCACTCAGGTGAGTAGTGATGCATCATTCTTGGCAAGATATTTTCAAACAATAATGGTTCTCTTTCTCATATGAGAGCATTTGAATGTTTTGACTTTTCTAGTCTTTATAACTAATGTTTAATAAACCTGTGCCACTTCTAAAGGAATACCAGGACACCAGGAAGAATATTTTGTGGTGTTACTGTTTTAACCTCAACTTCACAGTTTTCACAATAATGCTAGGTAGAAATCCATCACTGAAACTCAATTCCCCATCTTTATTTGTAAAAATATTATTAACCTTCTTACAGAAATGGTTTGATTTTCAACGCTTCATGTCCACAATGTTAAAACGGTTGAAAGTTTCCAGAACCATAAGTCTAACCAACTTTTCTTCACATCATCCGTAGCAAATCATATTACTTTAGGGTATCAAGGAGTCACAATGAGGAAAAAAAGAAGAACAAAGATTGTTTTTGCTTTTATAACCCTTTGCTCTCACAATTCAACAGTAAATCAACAGTGAACATTTGGTTTGCCCGAGGCAAACATGAAATCGGCTTGCCTGTTTGGAGCTTATATTATCTTTTGTTCTTATCTGTAGAGTCTTCAAAATAAGCACAAATTCTTCTCTCTTAGAGACTCTCAGAACCAGTGGTAGTCCCCACTGAATTTATTCATTTCATCAAAATGATATGAATTTCAGCTGCCCAATTTTGTATTCGTGAAGAATATTGGTAATCTAGTTCAAAAGAAAGCCATAGAGAAGAATTCATTGCAGCAAACAGATAATTTCCCCTATAGCTAATTCTATTTTTATTCAGACATACAGACTTGCCTCTGCAAGGCTATTGTTCTCTCAAGGGAGAAGACAAGTTTGTTGCAGGAAAACTATCTGACTGAACAGATAATTAAGCATACCGGCAAGGCAAGAAGAAAAAGAAAAAACAACAACAACAACAAAACAAAACCAACCCCAAACCCTCTTACTCTAGATGATTTTCTTGCCAATAAAATCTGAGAGTCCCCATATCATTCCTCTGTTCAATGCCACATTCAAACTTTAATAGTGACCAAAGAAAATATTAAGAAGGTGGAACAGATCAGCAATGGTTTAAAAATGTTGCTGGTGGAAGGTATCTGAGTCATTGGCAGCAAGTCCATATGGATTTCTAGTAACTTCAATTCTTGCCTCCTCAGAAGAAAGAAATCTAGTGAGGGGCATAATGCAGAAGAGACTCAGGCAACTTTCAGAGCAGGAGTGGAAGTTTATTTTAAAAGGGTTTAGAGGCCAAGCGCAGTGGCTCACGCTTGTAATCCCAGCACTTTGGGAGGCCAAGGCAGGCAGATCACCTGAGGTCAGGAATTCCAGACCAGCGTGACCAACATGGTGAAACCCTGTTTCTACTAAAAATACAAAAAAAAAAAAAAAAATTAGCCACACACACCTGTAATCCCAGCTACTCGGGAGGCTGAGGCAGGAGAATTGCTTGAACCTGGGAGGCGGAGGTTGCAGTGAGGCAAGATCAACCCATTGCACCCCAGCCTGGGAGACAGAGCAAGACTCCATTTCAAACAACAACAACAACAAAAACCACACACACAAAACAAAACAAAAAAACAAAGCGTTTAGAAGAGGAAAGGAAAATTCACTTGGAAAAGACCCAAGTGGTCACCTGAAGGTCAAGGGCAGTGTTTAACCTTGATCCTAGGACTTTATAGGTTGGCCTCTTTACCATAATTCTTCACTGAGGGTGGGCTGCTGGCATGCACAGTGCCCCCATTGCCCTTGGAAAGTGAGCATATGCAGTGTGTTTAAGAAGTTGTGCCCATTTTGTGGCTTTCTTCCCTTTTTCAGTGGAGTGCCCCCAGAAAGTTACACTCCGCCATTTTGTCTCTTAATGCACATGCCCAGGAAGTTGCTTCTCCCTGGCATCTACATTCAGTTAACACTTTAGTGCAACAAGTGTGGACCATCAGGAAATGGCCTCTACCTGGATCTGATTGCCAATTTGTCACTTTTAGAAAGGCAATGTGATAACTGCTGAACCATCACCTGACATCCCTGGTGGGTGGGAGAGCCTTCTCCTGCCCCACTCATGCCTGTCTAACTATCTGTAACAAAAACCAGTAAGAGGAAGCAGAGACAAAGAGTTTGTCATGGAGAAGCCCAAACTGATGGGCCTATTTGAGCTGGCGGCTGCTTCATGAAGCACTGCTTTGATTTGTTAAATAAGTGTATCAAGGACTTAGCTTAAATATATTTACTTTCCTACTTTTTTTTCCTGTAGCTATTATAAAAGGTGATTCACTTTACAAAACAATGACTCTAAATGTAGGCAAAAAAGGATAGCATGCAAGTGAAACCATACAAATGAAATTCATGTGTTCTCAACACAACTAATAAAATGGCTCTGTCACCAGTAAATGAGGGCAAATAAATGTAAATCTTTGTTAAAAAAAAAAAAGTGTTGATTAGGCCTTCTGATATGTTCCACTACTGAGGACTAAGAGGGGGTTACAGGTGCACCCTTCATTTTAAAGATAGACAAATAACTTGGCCTTTCCCTTGAGGCTTGTGGTAATATCAAGATTTTCTATCATTCCTTCCATAAAGAGGTGGTTTCTATGTCTCTTTTTCTTGAAGTTTAATTGAAGGTTTAAACATCAGGTGTTTAAACCTGATGAAGGTGATATGGTTCAGCTTTGTGTCCCCACCTGAATCTCGTCTTGAATTGTACTCCCATAATTTCCACATGTTGTGAGAAGGACACAGTGGGAGATAATTTGAATCAGAGGGGCAGTTTCCCCCATACCGTTCTCATGGTAGTGAATAAGTCTCACGAGATCTGATGGTCTTATCAGGGGTTTCCGCTTTTGCATATTCCTCATTTTTCTCTTGCCACCACCATGCAAGAAGTGCTTTTTGCCTCCCGCCATGATTCTGAAGCCTCCCAGCCATGTGGAACTGTAAGTCTAAATAAGTCTTTTTTTTTCTTCCCAGTCTCGAATCTGTCTTTATCAGCAGCATGAAAATGGACTAATAAACACAAGGTTACGTTGAAATAAGAGAAATTTATCTAAGATGTCTAGAATATCACATAATCTTATCATTAAGGTATTTAGTATTTGTTACAGAAGTCAGATCCCATATTCTTGAATTGAGGATAAGTTTTAAAAGACACAAAACATAAACATGAGCAAAATATTTACACTTACAAAATTAACACAAAATTTACATTCATTACATATTTACACTTATAAAATTTACACTCATTAGATATTTACACCTACAAAATTTATGATCATGACATATTTACACTTACAGAATTTATGCTCATATTACCTATTTACACTTACAAAATTTATGCTCATATTACCTATTTACACTTTCAAAATTTATGCTTACTGTTATATTTAATAAACCAGTTGCATATGTAAATATTAATGTATGATACAAGAGATAACATAGGGCACTATATTCATTATTTTTCAAGTAAATGTAGTAAAAAACTGAAGGGGTGGGTTGCCCCTCCACACCTGTGGGTGTTTCTCATTAGGTGGAACGAGAGACTTGGAAAAGAAAGAGACACAGACAAAGTGAAGAGAAAGAAAAAAGGGGGCCCAGGGGACTGGCGTTCAACTTACGGAGGATCCTGCCAGCCTCTGAGTTCCCTTAGTATTTATTGATCATTCTTGGGTGTTTCTTGGAGAGCGGAATGTGGCAGGGTCATAGGATAATAGTGGAGAGAAAGTCAGCAGGTAAACACGTGAACAAAGGTCTCTGCATCATAAACAAGGTAAAGAATTAAGTGCTGTGCTTTAGATGTGTATACACATAAACATCTCAATGCCTTAAAGAGCAGTATTGCTGCCCGCATGTCCCACCTCCAGCCCTAAGGCGGTTTTCTCCTATCTCAGTAGAGGGAATATGCAATTGGGTTTTACACTGAGACATTCCATTGCCCAGGGACGGGCAGGAGACAGATGCCTTCCTCTTGTCTCAACTGCAAAGAGGCGTTCCTTCCTCTTTTACTAATCCTCCTCAGCACAGACCCTTTACAGGTGTCGGGCTGGGGGACGGTCAGGTCTTTCCCTTCCCACGAGGCCATATTTCAGACTATCACATGGGGAGAAACCTTGGACAACACCTGGCTTTCCTAGGCAGAGGTCCCTGCGGCCTTCTGCAGTGTTTTGTGTCCCTGGGTACTTGAGATTAGGGAGTGGTGATGACTCTTAAGGAGCACGCTGCCTTCAAGCATCTGTTTAACAAAGCACACCTTGCGCCGCCATTAATCCATTTAACCCTGAGTTGACACAGCACATGTTTCAGGGAGCACAGGGTTGGGGGTAAGGTTACAGATTAACAGCATCTCAAGGCAGAAGAATTTTTCTTAGTACAGAACAAAATGGAGTCTCCTATGTCTACTTCTTTCTACACAGACACAGTAACAATCTGATCTCTTTCTTTTCCCCACAAAAAACAAGACATATCTATGAAACCAGTATGGCTTGCATTACTAGTTGAAGTTTGTCTTTGTTAGGGTTTGCTCAAGACAATAATTAAAATGCAAGTAATTTATTTAGTAGTCAATATCAGTAAATACCTGTATACAAATTGGGAAGTGAAACAAACAAGTAGGAAGCAAATTAAATAAGAAACCATTGTAGACAACTAGAACTTCATTCAACTAAAAAAATCTGAGGAGCCAGGACCTGGAGTATTATTCCACTATGTTTTATCAGTAATTGGTTGAAAGGCCCTGGGGAGAAAGTGGTGCTGATTCCCCAGAATTTCTAGTTTCAATAGATTTTGGCAGCTAGATAAATTCTCAGGCAGAGGGACACAGGACAGAAAACTTAAGGCACCTTGCTTTAAAGTAGTAGCTGAGGTAATCTGGATGGGGGACCAACGCCTACCACAGTAGACAACTTGTACCACTCACATCTACCAAGTTAATTTTACACTGTCATCTCACACTTCTTCAAGATTGTTGCGGACAACTTTCTTAAAAAAAAAAATCCTCCAAAAAGTTAATCTTAGGAGCTTTACTGGGATGTCCACAACACTCAATGTTTCCATGGGATATGGAATAATGGTCTCAAAGAAGCAATATCCGTAATGCCTTATTAGATTCACCTCATCCACTCATCCACAACCTGAAGTTTTGCTGGTCTAGATTACTCACATGATGAAAGTTGAGCCCCGGTGACCCTTTTTATGTCAGGCTATGGCTGATGCAATTGCCCATTCACAGTTGTCACTAGTCACAGAAACATCAATTTCATAAGTTCCAGACACTGTTTTTCTCTGCTGTTTATGTAGTACATGGTCAATTCCCCCTGCCAGTCTAGTGACTTTCTTGCTGTCTGGTTTCCTCGTGCAAGGAGTTCAAAGTGACTGAGGAGCCACCACAGCTTTACCTTACTGTGGCCCTGGGAAAAGTACCTTTCAGGGACCAGGGCCTTTAATCAAGCAGTGCTTACATTTACAGGGAGAAGATGCAGAGTTTCCACTTGTGGTTCACTGAGATATGTAAAAAAGGGTTCTTCTCCTTCCAACTTTTGGATCCCAGACTCATATATTCCACACAATGCAATAAATTATCATATACTGGCTGTTGGACCCTAGTATATTCTTCATCTTGAAGAAGATTGCCCCAATTACAAAAATGTCATAACCAGGTCACTAGCTGTGCCTTTAAGAGTTCATCCCAGCACTTCACCAGGCTAGCAGTTTTCCTGGTGATGTATTATATGGTACTAAGACCTATTAAGCACATTATAAGATGAATTTGGAGTAGTACCTCAGTTACCACCAGAAATTTAAAGCCTCCATTCTAACAAATGACCTATAGTATTAATAACAGTTCAAACTCTTTTCAACAATCCTAAAAAGATTTGGGTATTCCTCTTTCTCCAAATACAGTTACTCTGGTGAATGGTCATAGGTCTCCTGGAGATAGACTGAAATAATTACTGCTATTTATATATGTTGTAGTTGCACTAAAACCGCTGGCATTCCTTTAATCAAAGGACTTTGAGTTTGAAGGATAGCTCTGTCCTGGAAATTAAGCCAAGGATTGTGATTTTTCCACTATGGCAGTTGACATTAGTTTTTTGCTCCTCCAATCTTTACCTTTCTTCATTATAGGATTTAAGAAATGCACTCAATAGCTGTCCATTTTATCTTTTCCTTAAGAACACCATAGTCAATTAGCCAACCACAGATCCCTGGAGGTCCAGGAGTGTCATTTCACCCTTGTGTCTATTATCATAATTATGCCCACCTTGTCTCTGATAGTTAAGTGCTGAAACATAACCTCTATTATTTTGGAATCCTCTCTTCCTCAAGGACATTACACAATCCAGTTACATAAAAGCCTTTCTATCATCATTCCCAGCTTGCCGGGGATAGCCACCACTGGTTTCTCAATAAAGCTGAGAGCGCCTCAATAGTACATTCCTTATTGCTTTAGGGAAGTGATTGTCCTTAGAGGCCTCCTAGAGATCAGAGTCAGCTGCTAGTTTCTTTAATCTTATTTAATAAATCTAGTCTAGCTTGCTGCCCTCTCAGCCTTTTGGTCTCAAAGCAATTCTGGCATTTCCACTTCATTTCTACTTATTACCTTGATTGTGTCTTTTTGTTTTGTTTTGTTTTAATTTTTTATGCTTGGAGAATTCATCCCACCAGCATATTAAAGCTAGCTCCAGGTGTTCTGACAAGATATTAATTATGAAATAAAAAGATAAAAACTCAATTGCTAATCAACTCTACTTTATTCAGCCTTATATTCAGCCCACTTTGACCCAGAACCATCACAATTCATTCCAATTATGATCTGTTGGTTCTGGTTTGTTTCTAATAGCTGGATTCTCTGTTCTTTTGGTGAATAGTTATTTTCCTCGTGAAACAGAGACAGGGCTTTCCTCATTAAGCCATAATGAGGCTTGAGCCTATATACTAGTCTAGAAACAATGAGGGAAAGTGGGAGGTTTCATCTTGACAGGCACCTATCTCCTATAAGACCTTGCGTAGTCATTAGGCAAGTAGTTTCCCCGTAAGTGGAGCCTAAAACAAGAATATCTGTGCAAGTTGTTTCTTTGAAAAGTGATCTTTAGAAACACTGGATATGAGGAAAACAACTGAGAATTTGTACTGGATTGAACAATATTTCCCCAGAGTTCATGTCCACTAGGAATATGACCTTTGCAAAGGTCATATTTGCAAAGTCCCTATTTGCAAATAGGGACTTTGTAGATATAAGCAAGATAAGGTCATACAGGGTTAGGGTGGGTTCTAAATCCAATAACTTGTGTTTTTATAAAAGAAAGGAAAGGGATATTTAGATACAGAGACACAGAGAGGGACACAGGGGAGAAGACCATCACACGACAGAAGCAGAGATTCAAGTGACGCTGTTATAAGGCAAGGAATGTCAAGAATTATTGACAACCATTATAATCAAGGAAAAAGCACAGAAGGATTTTTTCCTAGAGCCTCCATAGGGAGGATGGCCCTGCTGACACCTTGATTTTAAACTTCTGACTTCCAAAACCATGAGAGAATATATTAATACATTTTTGTTAAGTCCTCCAGTTTGTTTTAATGTTATTTGAACATCTGTGATGTACAAAGTTTTCACTGGCTTCCTCCCTCTGGTCATCCAGAGGTCACTTTTGTTTAGCAGCTTTAGGAAAGTAATACAGGTAGGGAAAGAAAGGAAGCCAACAAATGTGGTGTGTTTTCAAGCTGTGATCCTCAGGATCACTGGTATTTAATTCCATCTGGGAATTCTGTGTACCGGCAGAGTATGTAGTCCTTAGTTATTCTTTTTGCCAGGTGCAGAAGTTGGGTTAGTTATCTACCAAGCCACATTGGCTGAACACTGTTTCCAGGAGGTTATTTTATTCCCCAACACTTCTGACTTGGTATGCACTTGAGCACAGCATATTCTGATGGTCAGAGAGAGCTCTCTCAGTCCAGAAAACAGAAAGTCTAGGAGTCGGAACTAGAGCCTATGATCATGGAAATGGTAAGAGCCAGTGAAATGTAGATGGGGCGCTGACAGTGTCTGCTAGAGATATTCAAATAAATTCACATTGTTTATTAACACTCAGGTTACAAGGACCATCCACATACAGATCTTCTCCCGCCTAACTTTCCGGAACTCTTGGGCTTAGTTGGTCTTCACAGGGTAACCATTTGCCAGACTAGATTTTGGCTGCAGTTGCTTTAGTTATGATTACTCTAGAAAAGTAGGCCTCCACAATTCAACAGAAAGTTGCTCACTGCTGTGTTGGTGACTTTGATATTCGGGTTTTCTCAAAGAAAGACTCAGTAGTCTTTCAGTAGAAAACAATAGCATGCTGCCTGGCTTATCTTCAGACAGTCCCCTCTAAGCAGATGGTGGCTTATTTCACACTTCTGTGAATAACCATATTGCCAAAACGTTCCCCAGTGCCAGGGTGTTTGTCTTGCCAGAGTCTTCCAGATTAGCCACATGTCATGCCAGAGCCAGCCCTCTCTAATTTCCCTTTGGCCCTGGTGCTGAGCCTGGATTACCTTCCCAGACTCTCTGTTCTCTCATTGTCTTTTCCATTATGCAGACTCAATGTCTCTCAATTGGGATAAACTTTGTTCATCACAGATGTTCTAATAACATTAAAACTTAAAGGGAAAGGATACGTATTCCGTTACTATCAGGGGATCCTTTGGCTTTGCACAAATTTGTCTAGCCCTCCACAGTGACCTTCTAGAGTTTCTTACCAAGGGACTATTAGGAGGAATTATATTAATGACATAAATTTGGTTTTTATATAAACTTCAAACACACTAACGATTGTTAAAAACCAACTTGTTA